>NC_000006.12:15363030-15514545 GCF_000001405.40 Homo sapiens | reverse complement strand
ACTGGGAGGCCAAGGAGAGTCGACCCGGGTCTCAGTCCTGGCCCACCATGGACAAGCAGAGGGACGCAGAGGCACTGGCCTCTCAGCGAGTGTGCAGCCGAAGGGGGCACCTGTGGGACACAGGCACCACACAGCATATGGGGTGGGCACCTCCTAAGCTAGGCTTCTGTACTGGAGATGTGAGGCACTGTGGAAAGGGACGAGGCCCGGGGAGGCAGGTCAGGCCCTTCGGGCATGCTCTCTGTTCCAGGCTAAGGTGTGTAGTGCTGTGGAGCCATCTGCAGTGCCAGCTGGGCGTCCCTACCCAGAGTGTGTCAGGGCAGCTCTCTGGTGAGAGGTCAAGGGGAGACTGGAAGAAGCATGGCGAGGCCACAGCCATCCAGTCGCCATGGAAGGGCTTTTCTGAGCCCACCTCTGGGCTGGAACAGGGGTGAGCAGGGGGAGGAGGTGTTTGGTATTAACCCCAAAGCTGAGGCAGGCAGGTGGGCACGAGGAAGCCAGCAGGGCACAGTCGAGAAGGCAAGAGGAATGCAGCCTGCTGTGGCCTGGAGTGGCTGTGCCAGAAAAGCATCTCTGATCCCAGATGGGACAGGAGGAACATCAGCTTTCACCAAGGATAGATTCTGAAGTCCTCGGGGGCTGAGGCAGATCATGTAGCTGAGCAGGACCAGGAAACCAAGAACAGAGCCAAAGGGCAGAGGCCATGGGCCCAGGTGCACCAGGCACAGGCCACAGGGAATGGCAGACGCTGCCCAGTACTGGAAACCCGCCCCTCACTGCCTCAGAAAGAATGGGTAAGAGCAGAGTGCGTGGGGGCTGGAGTGACAAAGTAGGGCGGAGAGGGAGGCCACCTGCTCCCCAGGGAGGAAGGACGCACTGCAGGACCGAGGGAGGGCCACGCGTGGGCAGAACAGAGGGACAGCCTCTGTGTGGCCTGGTCACTGTGGGTGAGGCAGCCACCTCCGGCGGCCAGAAGCTCCGCCGAGGTCCCACAGCCGGCTCCAGAGATGGGAGCACAGCAGGTCTCCTGGGCAGAGAGCGCCCTCCCTCTTCTGGGGGCAACCCCGGAGCTCTCAGGCCAAGCACTACATGCGAGGGCGCCGGCAGGGCCAGGCGGGCTCACCATGGACAGGTAGCACAGGTGCTGGCAGATCTGACACCTCCTCTCTGACGTCTCCAACTGCAGCCACTTTCGAGGCTTTTTCTTCCCGTCCGCCACCGTGCTGCTGCCATCGTGGCTGCCATAGCGTGCGGAGGAGTGGAGGCCAGCCTCGAACAGCTGCCTGCGCTGCCGCAGCTCTGTATCCCTGCCAGACACGGGAGACGGCCCGCACCTTTAGTGACGGCCTGCCATGCTCACCAGCAGAGGGGACACACGCACCCCACACCGGCCTCCCTGCAGACACACCCTCCTGTCAGGAAGTGAGGCCTGCTCGGGGGGTGAGCCCCCGAAGGGCAGCCGGGTCCAGCTCTCTGGCGTGGGCTCTGGGGGTCTGTTACCTGAGCTCATCCAGGAGGGCTGAGATGGTACTGAGAGTGGGACCGTTTTCTTTTTTTGCTTCTGCTTGTGCAATCTGGTAGAGTAACTTCTCCATGGAGAATGGCTTAGCTATATGGCGACGCTTCATTTCCTGAAAGAGGAGTCACATCCCTTTAGGGTGGATTTTCATTACTAGGCAGCTGTCAAGGTTCTTCTTGGTGGAGGGGGCAGGCAGGCTGTCTGAATTTCTAAATCTTGAATTGCATTTAGATTAAAAACTCTTCAAAACTTTGCCTCCCTGTGAGAAAGGCACCACATACCAGGAAAAGTCATAGCACTTCGCCGCTACCCAGAGGCAGCTGCCACTCCCTCACGATGGGTGGAGGTTCTCTGTCCATTCTAAGCAATTACCTTGAGCATCTTCAACAGTTTTCCAATACTGGAGGGGTCTGTCAGTAACGGTCTGATCAAAACTCTTTGTGATACAAACAAATCCCTAACAACTTTTCATTCCTAGAAGACCTTTCAACCACGTCTTAAGAATTTCAAAGACATATTCCAAAAGGAACTATTGACAAATAGACACGCACACGCAGGGATGCTTCTGTGTGCGCTCACGCACGGCACTCACAGGGATGCGGGGGCAGCAAGCGGGAGGAGGCCGGCTCTGCTCACCTTGGCGGTCTCAAAGCCCATACTTGTCCACTGGGTGGTAGCAAAGTGCACGGTTTCAGACACGCTGTACCCACAGCACACTTTGGACACAAAGGATCCCGGGAAGCAGACGACAAACTGGCCACTCTGCTGCACGGTCCTGTGCACCTTGATCCCCTCTTTGCACAGCACCTCCGGGGAGATCTGGGGAGACAGGGCCAGGCTGAGGCACCCCTCCCTGTGCGCAGGGACACCTGCAGTCTTCAGGTGACGTATGCGCACCCTAAGAGGCCTGCTCTCAAGGAGATAAGATTGTTTTATGTGGAAAATAAAAAGACGTCATTCATAACACAAGAAGGAGCTTCTAAACTGCACTGGTCCAAGAGTGATGACAGGTTCATGCACAGCTGAGGACATGATGACCACACAGGCCCCTCTGTCCCCACGTGGCAATGCCAGGGCTGGAAACAGGACAAGGTTACACAACCAGGAGGCTGCCGGGCTCATCTCCAGAGCCAAGTAGGCCACAGGCCCACAGGCTGGGCTTACAAAGGAGTCCCCCGTCCATCTCTTCTCTAAGATGGACAGGCGGGACCGGCAGGGTCAGCAGAGGCCAGAGAAGCTGGTCAGAACTCAGCTCAAAGCAGCACTTCCCAGGAACTCACCAGCCCCATGACTTCCTGAAAACAGGTGAAGAAGCCTTTGTGCTCATTCCTCTCACATGCCCAGAAGGTAGGAGCGGCGGGCACAAGAAATCCCAGGGCCCACAGCAGCCCACAACACAAACAAGCCCCAAAACAGATGCAAAGGCCGTGCAAAACCCCAGCGCCCTGTGCAATCTGATGGAAGGTCAGTTTGGCTTTTGTGTCAGAGGACCTTTCCCTTTGCACCCTGGGGATTTGTTTTGCTGTGTCCTCATTGCCTTTGAAAGGCGGGTTCATGGGAAACCATGTTCAAGTGCCTAGGAGGTCCTACAGCTCCTGCTGGAGGCGGTGGCTGAGTGGACGCACCATGACGTTGCTTTCCAGCATCTGCAGCCCTGGGGTGCCATTGGCTTGCAGCAGGGTGTGGACCACATCTTCCAGCTTGTTCTCCTCCTCAGCAGGAATGCAATACCTGGGTCATTGAGAGACACAAGAGACAAGCAGAGACTTGACAAGGGCCTCCTGCATGTACTGGGCCACCCCCGTCACCCTCAGGGACCCGAGCACACGAGAGGCTCTGCTCCACGCCGGCAGGGATGGCGCACTGGCCTGGCTGGGTGCCTGGTCACTGCTGGCTCCCATTTCCCATGGCAGCAGTGCCACGTCCACCTAGCACACAGCCAAACCACAGTGCATCCGCGTTGCGAGATGCTCATCTTTTATGGAGATCTGACCCACCTGGTGAGCCAAAAAGCCTTCAAACCACAAACAGATGTTCACAAACCCCTAGAAATCAGAACCAGACACACTGCGGCCTCCACGAGCCTCTTCTGAGGCTCCAGCACTGCACCCTCCTTCTGTTAACAGAGGCCACTGCAGGAGCAGCACCTGATAATGTCCTCACAAGGAATACGTGGCTCCCTCGGCCCTCCAGACAGGAACAGTAAACCCTGCCCTCTACAAATGCACAGAGAGTTGGGGAAGGAGCCAGGCTCATGCACATGTGCCACCTCAAGGCCAACTCCTTGGCAGATGCTGTGGTGAAGTAGGGGTCAGGGGATAGCTAGGGGCCCCCAGCTCTGCTCCCCACTGGAGAGTTTTACGTGTTAGGACCCAGCCTACCCGGCATCAGGCACATACAGCAAGACACACAGGAGGATCAAGGGCTCATAGGCCTCTGTCAGAGGGTGGCCTGGGGAAGTGGTGGCTCACAGACCCTCCAGGGTATAACCATGGCAGGGGTCCTCAAGTGTAAGAAAAGGTGGGAGGTACAGGTAGAAAGTAACCTACACGGCCTCCTCACGGCAATCACAGGGAGGGGAGGAGGTTTTGCCCATGTCCTTGGAGCCCACCAGGGCCACACTTCCACTCACAACGTGTGACGCCCCTGGTGTCAGGCTCACAGCATGAATGAGGGGGATGTGAGGGGAGGCCCCCCGCAAGGCAGGGGTGCAGGGATGGCTGCCCTGCCCCTGGGTGTCTCAGGCTGTCTGAGGGGCTCCTCCCCAGGCAAGAGGAGGACATCAGTGTGGAGAGGGGCCTGACAGGTCTTCAGGATGCTAAGCCAGTGAAGCCATCAACCACCATTAAACACAAAGATGTGGGCCAGCAGCTCAGGGCAACACCGCCAGCCCCTCCCCACAGCCCCCGCCCCCCAGGTCCAGGCGGGCAGCAACTCTGCAGCCCCTATGTGTCTGTGATGAAAGCATTTCTCTCTGAGGCCAAATCCTGGTTTCAGTTGCTCAGTGAAGGAAGTATTTTTTTTAATGCTCATGTTATTTTCAATGCCAACATATTCTGTTACTGATTGGTAATTTAAATACAGGGTTTCTAACCTAAATCACATGTTTTAAGAAAAACTACACACCATCATGTTCTCTGATCCTATCCCTGCCTTTTCTTTCTCTCCTGTCAATGAGGTTCCAGGAGTGAGTCTTCAAAAAGCCCACACAGGGTATCACATTTTGCTATCTGTGACTCAACGTCAAGCCATAAGCAAACCCACACGGAAGAAACTCGGGCCTGAGGTCACTGGCCTGGGGATGACCCCAGAACACAGGCCATGCCACAGCCAGTGTAACTCCTCCACAGGAAATGGCCACGCTCTTCTTCCGGAGGCAAAGGCACCTCTCGGAATAGTCCTGGCTGTCCCCTCCCCAGCTGGTGGCCTGGCCCGGCTAAGCCCCAAGGCTCCTGTCAGTCCCCGCTCCACAGGCAACAGCCTGGGCTTCCCGGGCCCATCACTCTGGACCCACTGCAGGACACCATGATCACCGTCCATGGCACACAGACCCATGTGGGAAGGGAGGGCTCCCTCATGTCCACAGCACCACTCACCAGAACAGCCAAAATGAGGAGGCTGCAGCCGACGCTGGCTCCAAAGAGGGAGAACACGAGTCCTAAGACTTTGTTTATTTTAATAAAGAATGTTTAATCACCCCATTAGGGCAATAAACACAGTCAGCATGGCATGAACAGCATGCCGGTAAACGATCAGACGACAAGACATCTGATTATTTGTAGTCATTTCCCATCTGCCGCCGTAAACAAAGACACCAAAGAGTCCAGCCTCGATCAGGGATGGGTGCAGTGAGAGTCAGGATTACAGGCGGGGACCCAGCCTCAATCAGGGATGGCTACAGTGAGAGTCAGATTACAGGCGGGGACCCAGAACACCTCGCCAGGCAACAGACTCCACAGGGTACATAACGCGCGTGTCTCCACATGGCAGGAACGAGATTCCCAAGTCAACTCTACTCCCCACAGCCACCGATAGATGAGGAAACACTGGCTCTACAGAGAGGCTGAAAATAACCAATCATGAAATACCACGGTTTATATTCAGTTACTAGAGGGCTGATGACACGGTCACTACTACTGGTTAGCTTTGTGTGGCACTTTTACTACTGTTCCTTAACCCTAAGGTGAAAATAACTCTTGGAAATCCACAAGAAAAAGTGACTAATCCATAACAAAACAAAACGAAACAAAACAAAACAAAAACAGACGTAAGTAGGTAATTCTTAAGGGAACTTAAGGAACTAAGGGGAACTTAAATGGCCACTAAGCATATGAAAAGATTTGCTCATCATCAGACAGTGTTACAACATTCTCCAGCACCCCAACTCTTCCAACAGAGGTAGGTGATCCCAGGCCCAGGCTTCGGCAGGGAACGCAGGACAGGCCTGAACACAGAGAAGCAAGTTCTCAAGCACGTGGAACCACCTGGACAAGAAGTTACCCACAGGCCCCACTTCATGTGGTAATAGTAGTTTCTGCAGTCCCTCCCTTCCCGCCTGGGGCCAGTACTCACCAAATGCAGTCAGCACCAGTGTGTAAGTAGTCAATGTATGGAAGGTGATTTTGGTCTCGAGACCAGCATGAGGTAGAAAAGACCATGCCAATATTTAGCCAGGGAATAGTCACTCCTAAAACAGAAAGAGTGAAAAGGGCATTTTTAAAAGCTAGGCAACAAGGTCTCAAAGGAACAGTAAGTAAAAATCTCTTTCTTCCGCTAAAACAAGAAGGAAAAGAAATGGGACTCAAAGCCAGACAAAAGACAGTGAGCAGAAGGTACCTACTCTTTCCTGCTTGCTCTACAGAAGTGGGAGAATATGAACACCGCTTCAAAACATCAGGAGCACGTCGGCCTCATGAGGGAGGTGGCCGCAGGAACCTGACCTGGTGAGGAATGCCGAGGAACCGGCCGCCCACGGGCCGAAGCCCCCAAGCCTCAAGGCTGAGGACCAGAGGCGCCAAACCCAAAAACCCCCATCAGGGCCAGAGGCAGAAAGCAAGAAAGCCCCTTTGTTGGTAAGGCCTCTGAGCAGGGTGAGTAGGGCACAGGGCTCCTTGGCTCAGCTCAGAAATGAGTCAGGTTCCAGGACCCGGACAGGTTCCTAGCCACTTTCGCCAAGGCCTGGGCCTTCACATTCATGGTGACCACAACCTCCATGACCCCTTGGCTTTCCCTGAAGTTTGCAAAGCATCCATCCGTCCCTTACGAGCCTACTGACCATCCTGAGAATTCATGATTTCAAGCCTGCAGTAGCCTTAAGGAATTGTGACTTCAGCTTTGAAAGCAGCAATTTCAAGGTTCAAAGTTGGCCCCTAAGCTTCTCCCAGCTCCAGACTCTGCCATGCGGTTCACCTTTCCACCTTTTCTACTGACTTCACCAATCATTATGTTACTCCTTTCTTTTCTAAAAATCAATTTTCACTGTATGTCCTGTAAGCCTGAAGACGCCATCCCTCCCCGGCAGTGCTTAGAAGGGATTTCCCAGCCCTGGTTCTCAGCAAGTAGGACTCATGGACACAGCTGCCACAGGCAGGCGGCCACAGTCAGGCTTACCAGGCACAGCACCGAGGTGACGCAGGATGGACCCTGTGTTATTGGGGAGGACGGTGAGGTTCCATCCATGCCTGCAAAGGGGAAGACGAGGGACGTTACAAACTGGCGGGGAAAGGATGCAGTCACATCCCCAAGAACCTGGACGAGAGAATCCCAGGTTACCTCGAAAAGGGTTCTGATTTTCCTACTGGGAATCCACTGCCGTGAGTGTTGGTGTCCACCTTGCCGCAGTGCACTGCCACGTGGCAGTCCTTCTCTTCCACTAGCCTCCAGTACTCTTGCTGCAGGGAACAGGAAAGGGCTGGTCAGCACCCCTAAGGTGCTGCAGCCACAGAGCACAGTTCAACCCAACAAAACTGGGACACGAATGCCTGGTGCACACACCCCTCAGAACAGACGCTCTCTTTGCAGAGTGTCTCCAGCAGGACGCTAATGCAGAAAGCAATGACAGGTCACCTCCAGGCATATCCTCAGAATGCCAGAAAGCAGGGTCTCACCCATGTTATGCAGTGTTATTCCCAACAGCCAAAAGGTGAAGCCACCAAAGTATCCCATCCACAGATGGATGAACAAAATCTACTCCGTCCATACCATGGCCTATTACTCAACTTGTAAAAGGATGTCAGTTCTGACACATGCTACAACATAGATGAACCTGGAGGACATTATGCTAAGCACGGTAACCGCCAATTATATAAAGCTTCCGAAGTGACTTTTAATATGTCCCATCTAAACAAATATGGGGGCAAAGAATGGGTCAGAACATGCTTTGACTACAGGCAAGCAGCGGTGCCCAGGCTCCCTTGAGACAAGCCTCCCCACGCAGTCACCTTCCACTTTGTTCTCAGTGATCACTCCAGAAGCACTAAGTCCTCTTCCCTCGTCTCACAAGCCTTGGTAAAGCTGGAACCACATTTAGGGAAGAAGCCTAACTCATAAGCCCCCAGCATCATAGGGTCCAGTTAAGCTCCACAAAGCGCTACTAGCAACACCAAAACCACTTTCCTCAATGCTGTGTGACTTCCACAAAGAGGGGGCCGACCTGGCGGAGTCAAGCTCCACAAATCAAGAACGAATTCCACATTAAATGACTGGATTCCCTCAACAGACTCCCTGAGTGCCCAAGCCTGCTGCGTATTTGCTGAAACTGAGGGCAACCAGCGTCTGGTGCGCCTGTAAAGACATGGGAAGGGAAGCAAGGGACTGCTCCCAGGTGGTGGCCAACTCCAGGGGCTGTCCACCAGCCTTTTTTGGAATACAGAGCACAAGAAGCTAGGCAATCCAGGCCTGAAGTTTAAATTCTAGCAAATCTCCCCTTTGTGTTTAAATATTTACACAACTGCTAGAGCAAAATCCAGACTTTCAGAGGGAATTAATTCCTGAATAAGAGGCTGTAAAATGAGCTAAGTTTTCTTGCGCATCATGGATAATAAACTTCTGCACCTCTGGGGAGATGCCCACAGGACACGTGTTGTTTGGCAATAAAGGCCTCTTCCCAGGTCCAACGCTCAGCCCCAGAAAGCCAAGTGTCCTCCGCCTGACATCTCTACCACAAACGCAACGCGTGCTCTGGAAGCAGCTGCGGAAGCCACACGTGTCCTAGACCACGGTTCAGCTGACATCGTGGCTGGTGGTGGGTGAGGCAGTGGCGGCTGCAGCACGGTAATCATGACCACAGGCCGGGTGTCAGGCCACTGCGTGGCATTCAACAGCCGCACCCAGGGTACACAGTGTAGGCAGCCCCTGCACGTAAGCAGAGACCTAGGTCCTAAGACGATGAAAATGGCGTGAAAGGTAAACCTCTATTCCCCACACTAGGAAGGGAGGGGTGGGCCACAGGGCTGGACATCCTAAGCTCTGACAATTGCTATCAGGAGGTGGGGCACCAAACGCCACCCAGGGAGGGTGACCAGCTGTCCTGGTTTGAGCAGGTTTGAAGGTCACAGGTCTAAAACCTGGGCAAAACAAGATACCTGAACCCCCAGTGGTCAGCATGTATACACGGGGCAAACCGACCTTGGATTTTATTTGAAACAGGTGGCATTAAGGGGAAAAAAAAAAAAAAAAAACACAGCAAAAGCCTGTCACACACTAAAAGATGAGGCTGTGGTCAGCAAATACCTCCTGTTCCCCGGCCGGCAGCTGCCCTGAACCAGCAGTCCGGGTTTGGTTTCTTTCCCTTTCCACGACCAAGCGCTGCTGAGAGCCCACCGACGTCAGCAGCTGGAAGTTCACACGGACTCAGCTGGGCACTGGCCGAGGGGAGGTAAATAAACAGATCCGGTCTCTGTCCTGCAGCGCCGCACACAAAAACTCCCCCTAATTGGTCTGGGCACAGAAGTGCTCACTGTCTTTCCAACCTCATACTAACTCAAAGAAGAGAGTTGGCAGAAGCACAAAAATGGCAATCTGCCAATCCCATTAAATAAAAAATAGAAGAGAAGAAAAAGCACAACTGTGGTTTCAAGGGATTCCAAACATTCTCTTGCATAACAGACACACAGAGGATGGGGTGAGAAACAGCCGGGTGAGCAAGCAGGAGGAGACAGTGACGGGGAGCAGGGGACGTGCCCAGAACCCGTCCCCTGCACTCGGCAGCTCCCCACCTTCATTATAGTGTTTTTGGCTTGTGAACAAGTTTAGATCAACCTAAGTTAAAACATTTGGCTGCCCTGGTGCACGCTCAACACAGAGGACGAACTCAGCCCCATCTGAGTCCTTTCCGTTCACCGAGCTGCAGGGGTCAGGGCAGGACAGGATGTCCTCCAGCTCGCCGAGGGGTTCCCACACCATGAGAGGCAGCGTGAGGGGCCCCTTCTCTCACCTCGATTTCGGCTGGGGCAGGCTCCTTGCTGAAACACATGCTCATGATATTCCTCGCTGTTCGATAAAAAGTTGTTAGAGAAACAGACCTTCCCTGAAACAAAACAAAAAACAGTAAAGCTTCAGAAGCAAAGCTGAACCCTACTGCAAATGAGGCCAGACACCTGTCATGGGCCGCTGCCCCTTGGCGTCCCTGCGGCTGTGGGCCACCTTGTATTCTGAGTTAATGACAGGCAGAGAAGGAAGAAATATATTCTCTAAGAACCCGCAGTGCCAAGAGGAGTGGGAAGACTCCACCAAGGATCAACCCCATGAGGGCCAAATTGTTCTGCCAGGAACAGAGGCTGCCGCCCAGAGGCCCTGAGCGGACGCACAGCAGAAGCGCGGAAGGCCCCTCCAAGGCTCTGCTGAAAAAGCAGCTTGTGCTGGAGGCAGAATCCCTCAGCTGACAAAGGCTGCTGCGGGCCAGCGGAGAAGCTATCAGCAGCTATGACCTGATGGAACTCGTGACCAGGGATCCCACAGGAGAGAAGCTGGAGAGACAGAAACTGGTGCGACATCTACACCCTGAGAGTCCTTGCCATATTAACACCTGCCAGGGCAGCAGCCTTCACTGAGGTTGCGACCTGGTCGCCTTCTCTCCACAGAACCACCTGCTGTCCCCTCTGCGCCTCTTCTTCGATGCCCCTCTGTTGCCCTGTTCCCAATAACTTCCAGAATGATTTGCTTGCTTTGATAAAACAGCTGAGTCAGTTTGGGAATCCGGAGTCAGCACCTTCTTTTACCTACCACACGAAATGTGGTGCGTTTTTCAGAGGGAATCCATCTAAGACCCTTGCTATTTCTTTCTTACTTGACCGGGCACATTTGTTGCTTGAGTCCAGAAATATCTCCTGAGCACCTATGGTGTACTAGGTCAAATCCTAGGGGCTGGAGACAGAGCAGTGCATGAAACACACAAAACCTCGAGGAGCTTCCATTCAGTCTGGGGAAGACACAGGCCTCAAACACACAAATATGGGATGGGAGGAGGTGCCAGGTGTCATGTAGAGTGGGGGAGGGTGGTCAGGGAAGGCTTCCCTGCGGAGCACTGGACACCGCAGCGTCCCCCTAGAAGTGATAGGGCCACAACAGGGAGCAGCAGATGCTTTCTGCCATTGGGTCCACAGTCGTAGTCGGCATGGAGACATTGGCTTGTGCCTTTCTCTCCTGCAGCAAAGGAACTAGATGGGGTTCTAACTACAGGAACGTACTTCCATGCAAATTCCAAGCCGCTCCTGATAGTCTGTTTCTTGTAAATATAAAAAAGGAGGGACTGAATTCTGCACCAAGGCAGAGTGCAATGAGTGGAGGTGAGGATGACACCAGCAGACCAAAGTCAGCAGCCAGGACACCGGTGCCACAGAGAGTTGCGTGCTCACGGTCCCTACCCGTGGGCACACGGCTGCTGGGGGCTTCGCCATGGCCACCACGCAGAGCTCCACTATATTTCCGTGATGAAATCTAGAAATACCCTTGACGGGGTGGATTTAAACAAATCCAAACCTCTTATTTGAATCAAACATACGCTCACAGAATTGGCCTCCTTCAGTAAAAAGTAAAAACGTTGACAGTTTCTCATTTCACCAGTTGGCTATTCAGTCACAGGATTCACTGAGTGGCTTTACTTGACAAAGGCTTCTCAGTAAAACATTCAGGAAACACCAAATAAAGTTCCTCAGAGCTTACAGTCTCTGGGTCACACTTGGCAGGCTGCATCCAGCAACCCCCACACCGCATCCCCACCAGGCAGCCTTGGGCAATGGGAGAGCAGACTCAGATAAAAGGGAGCCAAACCCTCTCAGGGTCTCAGGCCAGAAAAACTGGGTACCTCTTTCCAGAGAAGTGTGCAAGGACATGAGATGCAGCCTGAGGCGGGTCTGCAGGGCCTGGACTTAAAGTGAAGCAGCAACGCCAGGAGTCAAGTCAACCCTTCCTCCGTATTTCTAAGATGTGTGATGGTATCAGAAGCCCGCATTGCCTCAACTACAAGGCCAGGCCAGAGCCTGCAGTCAGGCAGCCGTGGGCACCTGAGGGTATGGTGGTGTTTAGTGATAACCAACAGCCAATTCCCAATGCTGCCGAAACCCACTAGCCACACACTCCCACCAGGCTCACGAGGGCTGGAGCAGAGAACGCTTCCCTTCCAGTGAATCCAGAACTGGGACCACAGAGGACAAGTCTGTGCCGGGAAACTCAGCAGAGACTTCAACTTAGCTGAGCTCGGCCAGCTGGGCCCCGGGTGCCCCGCTACCCACTGGCAGGCTGGAGAAGGGAGGAAACCCCAAGCCTTGCTTCAGAGCCAGGACAGCTGGGAGAGCTGCCAAGAGGAGAGCCACGGACTCTGCCTCCCCTGCTTCTTGGAGGGGCGAGTCTCCTCAGGATGAGTGTGCTGCCGGGAGACCTGGCGGAGACAGGGAAACGCTGCATGTTTCAGTTTGCTGGTTTCTCCCCAGCTCTTCCCTCCACAGCGTGTGAATGGTGAGATTCATTTTGATGGCTTTATCAGGGATAGCTCTCCACAGAGAGGACCTGGCAACGCTGGGCTGGCAGTGAGGTGAGCGGATAGAAAACAGAGAAAACAAGCGCACAGAGTCCACTGACGGTCCAGCCAGTGAGAAGTTCAGCTGGATCTGGGCAGCTGTCGAGCACCAGGATGAAACGGAACTGGAGAAGCAGGGGAAACGAAGCATGCAGCCCAGTTACTTATCCCTGGCATATGGAGATGTGTGCACGTGCATGCAACACGCACACGCAAGCCAGTTAATGAAAAGGAAACCCGAGGCCCTAGGCAGGCGGAATGGACTCGTGGTATCTTCGTGGAGTGGACTTCCCCTCCCTCACTGGGTCTCCTGCTGCCCCATCAACGCACCCACAAGGCCCTCACTAGGTTCCTCGATATTGGACTTCCCAGGCTCCACAACCAGGAGCCAGTACATTTCTGTTTATTATGAATTCCCCAGTCTGTAGTATTTCAGCAACACGAGAGGACTAATACAGCGCTATCACCCAGCACAGTGGCCCGCCCCCTCATCACCCCAGGGAATCAGAGAACACACCGTCCAGTGCATAGCACGCTCCACTTCCTCTCTCATTCCTCCCGCACTCCTGCAGCTGGGAGTGGCTGCTCTGCGGAGGCCCCTACCTTATAGATGCACTTGTGGAAGTCATTGAGGACGCCTTTGTCCTCCTCCTCTTCCTTGACCACTTCTTTTTCCTGAGCGAAGAGTCGCCGCCGGCCAGTCTTCAACTGGGCCTGGCCCACCTCCTTGAGCTTGCTGCGGAAGCCGTTCCTGGGGGCCACGCCGTGGATGAGCCCATTCTTGGGCTCGAAGCGGGGCAGAGGGTGGAACTTGTGGTGGTCGTTCTCTGTGTGGCCTTCCAGCGGCCCCTTGCGCTTCTCCAGGATCTCCTTCTCCATCAGCACCTCCTTCTCCAGCCGCCGGTGCTCCTCTGGGGACAGGGAGTCGTAGGAGAGTAGGTACTGGCAGTAGGCCTCCTGCAGCTTGGCCAGCCGGTCCTGGGCAGTTCTGGGGATGCGCAGCATGTCTGCTAGTTTGTTCCATTTTTTGAGGTCAGTCACTTGCTGCATGCCGCCCATCTCATTAATCAGCCGGAAAAAGCAGGCCAGGTCGAGCTCACAGCCCCCTGGGACAGCGAAGGGGAAAAAAACGGGACAGTTAGTGAAAGAGACACGAACAAGATGTTCCTCATTCAACCTGTACTTCTTGAACTCCTACTATGAGCCAGGACTCTGACAGGCTCTGGGGTGAGAGTGGTGAACAGCAGACTCCCGGTCCACAGAGAGAAGGGCGTTACAAAATGATGGGTCATGACCACTTGCTACGAAGAGCAGGTGGAACGAGGGACTACCATTTTAGGTGGGGAGCGTCTGAGGAGGCAGCATTTAAGCTGGGGCTTGGCTGGAAAAGGATGCGAGCTGGCCAGACAGACATACAGGGAGGAACATCCCAGTGTACCATGTACTGGTACATGTGTTGTCACATGGAGGCGGGTGTCATGAGAAGACTAGCTCCCTGGTGAGGAGTGGGTAGGGGTCCTGGCTGCACCCACGGCCCAGCGTCACCTAGAATAGCTTTGACACATGCTTGTTACCAACTCCCAATTCCCCTTCTATAATTCCCAATGCCCACCCACTCACTCACTCAACTTCACCCATCCACCCACTCACTCACACAAAGGAAGTCTATTTTCCATCCTGCTGGATTTCCAGAGCAAAGAGCAACACCTGCGTGAGGACACAGGGCAGCACATCTATGCCTCGTCCCTCGCCCATCCAGACAGCGGGCTGCTTCTCAGTGCATAAGCTGGTGCTCAGTGCCCCTCCTGATCAGGCCACAGAGCAGCGCAAATGCACATCAAACCTGGGCAGGTTTTAACGCGCGCCCAGTGGCTTTTCTAGATGGGAATGGAGAAAGCAACCTCCCTCGGGCCAAATAAAGGAAGGGGGGTAGGGGAGATTTTCCAAAATAACCATCAACAAAATACTAAACAAAGTACAAATTAACAACGTTTTAAATCTTTAGAGTGTGGGGATATATTGTTTTTAAGTAATAAAAGGTAAAGTGTGCACGGATCCAGTCCAGGCAGGGTCGCTGCACATACCAAGCATGACAGGACCCACTAGGTGAAGCGTCTGAACCACCTCGGCAGACACAGCACACACAGAGAGCGAGTTCCCAGCACACCAGCAAGACCAGGGATGGGGACACAGCAGCCTGAATTCCACTCACACTAAATGGCAGGACAGTGGACTGATGTGGTTGTGGAGAACAGGGGAGTTGGGGTAACATCCATGAGGGAACTGTCCCCAGCCTCGACAGGAGGGACCTAAGAACTGAGACTCCACAACAAACTCCAGGTCTCACAGACTCCCAGAGTCACAGGTGGGACTCACGGTGGCTCTGGCTGACAATCGGGAGTTCTTCCTCCGAGGGCAGGTGGGTACTGTCTCAACTTACAGAGGTAGGCACCAAAACGAGTCCCCCAACCAAAACAAGTCCTCCACCGTCCGAGTGACTCAGAACACAGGTCACAGAAGGGAGGAAATCCACACTTTCATATTTCACTCTAAGTAGATTATAACGCAAGAGCACCTGAAAATCACACAGCGCTTGCAAGAATTCTTCATGGAATCCTCATCCGCTGCGATCACTCCCACTCAGGGCCTTGAGGCTGCTACGTGGCCGAGCCCCTTCCCCACCCAACTCCCGCCAGCGGCACGGCGGCTCCCTGGGACCTGCGGTGGAAGTGAACCTACACAGAGGCAGAAGGCACATCTGCTGGGGTGGATTTTAGGCTATTACTTCAAAGTTATTAAGTTTCTACCACTGTCAGATGGCTGAGCTCAGACCCCAGCCCTGAGGCCTTGCTGGGTCACAGACAGGTCAGTACCCCTGGGACAGAATGTCAGACGCCTTAGACTTCTGGGTGACGGCAACAAGCATAAGCACACCACAGGGAGGCACAGTATGGCTTTTGTCCCAGGGTAAGGGAGTCGAGGGTAAAGAAAAACCTACTCTAAACAAAAGGCGCTGTCACTACGATGTCAAGTGTGCTCTCGAGGCTCCATCATCCACCTAGCAGAGGAGGGAAACTTGGAATGTTTCCCTCCTGTCTGCAGGTCTCCAAAGGCAGGAGGACTTGGTGCGGTTCCATCACTGACTCAGTCATCCTGTGTCCCAAGTAGTCATGGGGCGTGGTCAGCGGGCGTGGGTGCACGCGTGTGCAGAGCCTGCTCCCTGCACTGCTTCCTATCACGTGCTATTCCCAACAGCAGAGCACAAACCAAGAACTCTTGCAAGTTAAGGTGACTGTCACTCAGGCATCAGTCCTGGCAGGCACCTGCTGAGGGGAACCACGAAACCTCCATCCTGCCTGGAAGCCTATCTTGCTGCCAAATCCCTGACACTTAAATGATGGCTACACGTCTCCATGCCTTTGAAAATTGAGGATCTCCAAAATGGAGGTGTGGCCTGTTTCCTCCCATGGGTCTAGACTGATGGGGTTGCAACCTTACCTGGATGCACCTCACTCCACAGAATCCACTTAGCCTTAACAAGGCAAGTTCATCCTCACCCTGTGTCCCCAGTGGCAGGACTGAAGAGAGGATGACAGGGAAGGAGGGCTACAGGGGAACCCAAGAGGAGGATCTGCCTGCAACCCACCCTGAGGAGCAAGGGTCTGCATGACAGCCCAGATATGCATTCACTAAGGATCCACTGTGACAAGTTTCCAACAGCCCCAGCCAGAGCTCAGAAAAAAGGTCTCAGAAAAAACCTGGTCTCAGAAAAAAGGTCAACAGATCCCTTGACCTGTGGCCTTGACAAAATCGCCAGAGAAACTGAAGCTCAGAGGAAGAAGAGACAAGGCTGAGCAGGATAAAAAATGGCCTACAGGACCCTAGAGGGCTATGGGCTGCATGGTGATCCCTCCAAATTCATATGTTGAAGCCCTGACCTCCAGTACCTCAGGACATGAATGAATTTGGAGACAGGGTCTTCAAAAGGGTAATTATGTTAGAAAGAGGTCAGTAGGATGGGCCCTAATCCAATGTCCTTCTAAGGAGAGGAGATGAAGACACAGACACACATAGAGGTAGGACCCTGTGAGGACACAGGGAGAAAACAGCCATGCACAAGCCAAGGAGGGAGGTCTTGTTGGTTTCGGGAGAAACCAACCCTGCTGGCCCCTAGACCTTGGGCTTCCAGCCTCTATAATCCAGTGTGGAATCCAGAGGGGCAGCGCTCCCCACTGGCCCCCCGGCCCCTGCTTTAACTCCAGCAGTTGTGGGTAGGAGGTGACAGCCCAGGGGAAGCAAGGGGCCCAGACCCAGAGTGGGGGCTCACCCCAGATCCAAGCTCAATACTTTTTTTTTTTTTTTGAGACGGAATCTCACTCTGTCACCCAGGCTGGAGTGCAGTGGTGTGATCTCGGCTCACTGCAAGCTCCGCCTCCTGGGTTCACGCCATTCTCCTGCCTCAGCCTCTCCAAGTAGCTGGGACTACAGGCCCCCGCCACCACGCCCGGCTAATTTTTTTGTATTTTTAGTAGAGACGGGGTTTCACCGTGATCTCGATCTCCTGACCTCATGATCTGCCCGCCTCAGCCTCCCAAAGTGCTGGGATTACAAGCGTGAGCCACCGCGCCCGGCAGCTCAATACCATTCTTATCCTGCCACCAACGCCCAGGACCTGGGAAGAAGGGCTGCAGGGGGAATGAGCTGAGAAGCCCACTACTCCCGAGACAGGGAAGCGGAACTGGAGCTTTCGCAAGGGAAGAGAACGTGAAGACTGTGAGGGAACTGCAGGGATCTGGGGGCAGGAGGGCAGGCACCACCCCCTGACCCCCCGCCCAGACCTACCTATGAGCGGGAGCTCGTCCATGGTGATGCCCTGAGATTTGAGGTGCTTCTTGATGCAGGCCAGCCGCTGCACGTTGGGGCCCCAGCGCCGGCCCAGCTTGTGGATGTGCTGAATCTGCGTGACAAACCGCATCTCATCGTTGAGCTTGCACTCGGGCCGCCAGTCCGGAGGGGGGATCACCCTGCACATCCCGAACTTCTCCACCTGAGCGCGGACCGACTCGATGTAGATGAGCGGATCGTGGAACTCCTTGGCGGAGGGCCTGAGGACGGGGATCTCGTCCATGGCCGCCCACCCGGCCTTGCCGCCGCCCTTCTCGGCCTTGCCCGAGTCCTGCGGCTTGTGCACGGACTCCGGTTGCGAGGTAGAACGATTTTCACAGGAGGCGCTGTCCGCCTTGCCATGTGCTTGTCTGCCTGGCGTGCTCTTCCCGGCCGTGGCCCGCTTCGGCCGATTCCTCTCCAGACTGCGCTCCGGCACTTCCTTCTTCACGTGTCCGTTCAGCAGACCTCTCTCGGCCGGGGCCTTCTTGCCAGGGCCTTCGGCGGGGCCAGCCGCCCCTTTCATCTTCTTGGGGGGCGACTGCGGCTTCTCCGCCTGGTGTGCCTCTTCCAGTCTCCTCTTGGAGTTCCGCAGCCCCTCCCGCAGCTGCAGGCCCTCCCGCAGCTGCCGCCCCCCCACCTCCTTAGTGCATGACTTTGGGTTCAACCTGCCACTGACCTTGAGGCCATTGACGGCGGGCCCAGTGGACTTGGACGCCCCCCCGAGGGATAGCACCTGTTTGCGGGTTTTTGCATTGCTACTTTCAGTTTTCCCTGAGATTGTGTGGTTGACAGCGGAACTGGGCTTGTGGTGATTGGGTTTGGTGTCCTTGACCAGTTCTCTCTTGGCTTTGGTGTATGTGACAGCCCCCTTCGTCACCGTGGCAGTGTACTTCACAGTTTTGGATGGTGAAGGTCTGACCTCGCGCATCTTTTTGGCACTGGTTACACCTGCACCCAGAGATGACATTCGAGTGACTCCGTTTACCTTAGAAACCTGTGGAGCAGCAGAAGCAGAGGTGGAAAAAAACGCAGAATTAGTACCTGCCACTAAAATGACCGGCCCACCCGTGAGAAAGGACCCTGGATGCTGGGGATGAACAGAGCCAGCAGCCTGTAGTGTGATAAGAAGAGATGTGGAAATACCAGCAAAGAGAAGCAAAATACACATCCAAGAATTAAGCAGCGATGTCCACTTTCAGAATCCACTATATACCTATCCTTCGTCACAGAAGTATGCAAACTGCCCCAGGCGCTTCCTAGCGGGGTTTCCTGGGTGCATTTTCACGTTCCCATTGCTCTTCCAGGAAATTTGGTGTTTCACAATGAAGACCTCCCCACGTGCCATGCAATCACCTGTCCTGAGCTTCTCAGAGTTGATGACAGCAAGATCCTGCTTCCTTGGGGGAAGTGGAGACAGACACACACACATATCCCTGTTCCAAGAAAAGTCATGTCTGCTATTTCTGTGCTCCACATAGCAGCATGACCTGCCCACAGGATTTAGAAATCTATGGCTAAAAAAAGAAGGAAAACAAAAATACTATGGAAGCAAAAGAACAGCAGTGCTCATGTGGTTTGGCTCCGGGTGGCAGGCCAGGCCCAGAGGTGTGGCTGCAAACTGTCAGCAGCTGCTGTCTGCTTTCCTTGTGGAGACGAGCCCTGGACAGGGCCAGGCTGGATGGAAGAGGGATGCCCCGACCTCACTGTTGAAGCAACACATGCCAACCCTCGTCTGCACACGCGCTTCCTATATTTTCCCACCGTTTACAAACTGTCCCATGTATCTTCCACCCTGGACAAACTTTCCCATCAGGTTCTATGGGACCTGGGCAAACAGAGACAGTCTTACAGCTTGGACGCCGTGGTAATCTTGGGACACACAAACGTCAGCGAAAATGGGGAGCGACAATGGCAGACACTAGAAATGCACAAGCTTCAAACAAGAATAATGAAGGGACCCCAATGGGCTGCTGCCAGACATGCTGGTTTCGAGAAGATGTCTTCTCTGCGTCACAATGTGGCCACTGCCCCATCACTTAACACCTTGGGCATTACTTTTCGTCTATGATATGAGGTTAAAGTCAGGGACTTCAGGGTTTTATAACCACCACCATCTCCAAAGGAAGAAGCCTAAAAATCACAAAATTACTGAGAAACACAGAATACTAGCCCCCTCTTCTCCCCAACAGCCCGAGAGGAAGGTGCCAGGGTCGGGGGAGCCTGCACTTCCTGGTCAGGAGAGCTGGCCACATGCAGTGATGGCCCAGAGGGTACTGAAACACCAGTGCCACCACAAGGCTGTGCAGGCTGCTGTCACATGGGGACGAAGGTCCCCAGATGGCGGGTAATGAGTCTTAGTGACCTTTGTACTAAACCTAGGCCTGGCCCAGGACCCCCCTTAAGTGGGGGTGGGGCATGGAATGAAACTTCCCAAAGGCGCCTGTAATCCCAGCACTTTGGGAGGCCGAGGCGGGTGGATCACAAGGTCAGGAGATTGACACCATACTGGCTAACACGGTGAAACCCCGTCTCTACTAAAAATACAAAAAATTAGCTGGGTGTGGCGGTGTGCGCCTGTAGTCCCAGCTACTTGGGAGGCTGAGGCAGAAGAACGGCGTGAACCCAGGAGGTGGAGTTTGCAGTGAACCGAGATCATGCCACTGCACTCCAGCCTGGGCGAGACTCTTGTCTCAAAAAAAAAAAAAAAAAAAAGACTTGCCAAAAACATCCAAACCAGTGGCTCTCAGCATCCCCTAGAGGGCTGATGTAAACACATCACTGGGCCCTACCGGCAGAGTGTCCAAGTCAGAGGGTCTGGGATGGGACTGAGAATGTGCATTTCTAACCAAGTCCCAGGTGATGCTGTGTGCTGACCTGGGGACCGCGCTTGGAACCACTGAATGAAGTATCAGTGAAGTTTATAAAAATCAAAAAGGAAAGAAGCCACTGAGACCTGTATTTCTCTATATGCCACCAATTAAGTGCAGTCCAATCAAAGCCACAAATTCTTGGTAGGACATCATCTCTTAGGAGCCAGGCCCATGGAGGCCTCATTCCTAGAGCCAGATCTCAGGCCCCATGAAGAGGCAGAAGCGAAGACCCAGGAATCACACTCTGGCTCTTAAACCATGAGTCACCCATAAAAAAAGTGGGACTGACAGACGGTCTGGAATAAATAATGCGAAACCCTTTTGGAGAGGAAAAAAAGCACCTGGCAATGATAAATTTAAAACAGATTTATAAAACCAGGGGTAAGGACAAACAGAAATATTCCGTGGTAAGTACTGTTAATCTGCAAGAGGAGGTATAGTGAGGAATGCAAATCTCTTAGTTTTAATTGTTCTTTCAAATGCTTCCACTAAAACCAAAACAAGACAAAACATTTAGAAAAACAAAAGCAAACAGTAAACTCCAGCTGGGGCTGATCTTTATTTCCAGCAACAAAGGCTGGTGGGGCTGGGTGGGGGTGGGGGAATGGGCCTCAGGGAATCCAGGACCTTGGGGAAGGGCTCTATCTCAGGTTCAGACAGCAAAAGACAACACCTCTACAGTTGGCTCAATCTCCTTTTAACCTGTAGGGGTGCAATCTGTTTCAGCCCTACTCCCAGCACAAGAGTCTCCTTAAGGAGACGGACACAGTGCGGCTTCGTATATCGCTAATCAAAATGGCAAACTCCAGATGGTGCCGGACATAACCCAACTCCTGTGAGGTTCAGGCATCAGCCACCACTACTTGCTGAGGTTTAGTTCAGTGTTTTCCAAACCTGGCACCCCTAAAACCCTTAGGGGAGCTTCAAAATAATGTAAATCCCTTCCCTCTAGATTCTGTGCTAATTGGTGAGGATCAAGAAAGGGAATCAGTGTTTAAAAGCCTCAGATGTCTCAGTGTTCCCACAAATCCGTGGACCCTACCCTTCCCTAACACCGCTGTCCAAATACCAGAGTGCTATGTCTCTCATATTCTATCTCAAATAAGAGTGTAAGGCCTTTGGTTCCATCCATTCTGGCTTCTCGGGGGCACCTGAGTTCATGGCTAGCAATGCTACAGGGAAGTAAATTTTCAACACAGCTGAATTCTATATATCACTATCTTCAATGGCAAAAGGAACACCTTGTTTACATCTTTCTGAAAACCTAAATACTGAATTATTGGCAAGGTATACATTCAAATAACTTGCTTTATGAGAGAAATGAGTTGCAATATTTTCCTTCTTATTATAGGAGTTATCTTCAACAGTATCCACCCAGATATCACACACGCATGCCCATATAACAAGCTCAAAGACTAGATGGATCTCACCCACAACACAGACCAGCGAAGTTCAAACAATTACGAAGACTGAAAAAGGCAAGTGTCACTGGCCATCTTCCTCCTCGAAACCCAGAGGGTCCGTGTTCTATGCCCACCACGAGAGGCCACAGGGGAGCTGAAAAGCTAACATAGGAAGCCCCTTAAGCTGCTCCATGTGTCCTAAAAGGGAGAAATAAAACAGAACCAACAACCCAGCCAGCACCACCATTGTGGGGAAACCTGGGACCCACCAATCTAACAAAAGGACACCCCTTTTCCTGGCCTGGACTTGTCTATAAGGAGCCAACACTTAATCAGTACAAAAGGAAACAGAAGAATGGAGGAAGGCATTGTCTTACCTTGTTACCGAAGGTCTCCCTCAACCCACCTCTGTATCAATTAAAACCACACAGCCCCAGTTATGCAGCCAGTGCACTACAAGGAAGGCCACCGCTGCACGTCCTGAGGGATTCCACAGAAGAGCACACACAGGAAGTCATCTGAACTCACTGAAGAATTAGCGCCGACGTGGGCTACAGCAGGACCCTCCATTGAATGACAATACATTTCAGCTGAGCAGCTTTATACATAAGTGCTTGAAGTTACTCCTTCTCTCAGCTCTGTTGTGGATTTCTGGCTTCTCAGCCCATTGCCCCCAGCCCCCAACCCAGCTCTGCAGAAAGTGAGGTGTCTGCAGCGTGTGCTCCTTGGCCCACAGCCATCCGTCACCTGTATCTCAGGTGATCCCAGGCACACGGCCATGAGATATTAAAGCAATCCCTCCTAGTCATAAGAGAATGGTTTCAATTTAACAGGCAAGGTTGAGAGCATTTTCAAGTTACGTTCGGCCAGATGAGTACTGGCAACAATACCTCATTCTTCTTGCAGAAGGGATATAAGGTGAGAGATATGAAAGTCCAGGACATCAAACGTTCCTACCTGACTTTGTTCTTAATAACAGAAATTCCATCTTAAAAACTGTACCCAATCCACACTCTGTGTGCTTGCTTTAAGAATATAAAATCTCTCCCCTCCATCCTTATGGGTTTTTCTCCACCCCACCACCGACACACACAATATTTAAATCAACTCAGTATGATGACAGATGAAAAGGAGAAACATGCACTTCCAAGGCAGAGCAGAAGATGAGAAATGACTCTGATGTTTTTGGTTAACTAAGCAAAAATGTTTTAGTCGTTCAAGATTATGACGCTGTCCTCAGTTCAACCTCAGATTCACTGGCAAGTTCTTCTTCTCCACGAGAGGGAGCCGTTGAGCCGAGGCCTCTGCCAGCCTTTCAAAACAGAACCAGAGGCCCAGAGAGAGAAACAGTTGGTGGCTGGGGGTAGTCCATTTGCACTTTAAAACTTGAATCAAAAACAAAGAGCCTAAACAGAAGCGAAATGCACTGGACAGACAGTGAGTTATGGAAGGGGAGGAGCAGCCTGCTCAAACACTGACCGCAGCAGCAGATGGGCAGGAGCCTCCTAGCCAAGGCCAAGGCCAAGGCAAATGTGCTCTAAAAGAGATGCCTGGGTTCCACTGGGCAATCTAGATGTACCTATAACCTCTCCTCCCACTGAAGGCAATGTAACTGAGTCACAAATACCCCACCACCAGCAAGTGCAATTCAAATGACAAAATAATGTCATGAGAAGAAAACCTTTAACTTTTTTAAAAACTAATATGATTTTCTATGTTTCCTTCTCAATAGCCGTATTTTCCAGAACTTTAAAAGAATATTCTCAATTCCTTGGCCCTCTCTGAATCTTACTAGGGCAGGATTTTTCTGCAAGGCTTGTACATTTTCATATGAAAACCTCTTCAGTGACAGTAGCCTATAGCTCAATGGAAGGTCCTGCAAAACCAGTGGGATTAGCCAGTTGATCATTTTCTTCTCACACTCAGCCTCAGCGTAAGAAATGAGAATCACATGTGGCCACATCTGGTTCAATATCCTGGCTTACAAACCACACAAATTTCTACACAAGTACAAAACCTGCTCATGACTCTCTTGGAAAACTAATACTTCAAAACCCTTGCTAGAAATAAAGCTCGTCTGTTGGACTATCCTAAACTTGTTACTTTCTGTCACTGCATGTAAGCAGAAGTACTACTGCAGGAAAGCAACAGAAAAACACCATTTGCTCCTTGGTGAGACCCTTACCATACAACCAAATTATTACCCAGGGGCACTCCCAGCCCCATGACAATGCAATGTTATACAGGCATGTGCATTCCATGACAAAGACAGCTCATTTGGTATAATCGAGAGTAAACGGCCGGGGCCAGAGCCCTCTCACCAAGAAAAAGGCTTAGGTGAAGTACGCACTGGTGTGTTCTAACTCTCGGGTTCTAGGGACTCCATAAATCGCACACACTATCAAATGGCATTGCCCAGTTCGCACGAGGGGAAGTGGTTTTAGACTTGGAAGACAGGTGCATGCACCCACACAGTTCATTATAGCAAGCAGAGCAAAGGCACTTCTCGGCAGCACCCCCTAAAAATTACATTCCTCCACATTTCAATACAGTCACATTTATGCTTTTAAGCTGAACAATAACAAAAAAAAATCCACATATCATATTTGAAATGAAAGATCAGAGTATCCTCTGGGCCCATATCTTTCATGCAGTTGAAAAGATGAAAGGTCACAGTCTAATCACTTGTATCAAGCAGTCACAAGGGAATCTACAATTTGCTTTTACTGACCTTATTTTCAGAGTACTTAACTAATAGGATCTGAGGGTTTGAAAATTTTCCTTTTATTTCTCACAATGTCCCTGGTATAAGGAGTTGGCCAGACTGGCTCCAAAGGAATAATAGGGCCCAGGAAGGTTAAATATCACATCTCAAGTCTCATTGAAGGTCAGAGTCAGAGCCAAATTAGAATCTGGAGCCATGGGTCAACCCATCTGGGCTGGTTAGACTGGAACAGGGAAGGAGGAGGAGAGGGAAGAGGGAGAAAGTGGGGAAAGGGTGACAGGAGAGGATCCCCGTCAACACCTGCAGGATGCCCTGCATGAGCACATGGCGCTCCCTGCAAGGACTCTACCCTGAGCCCCGGAAGCAGCTGAAACTCCTGCACTAACTCAGAGGACAGAGGCCGGCTGTGTGAGGGGCACCCCAGGACCTCTTTCCTGCACCTAAGATCCTGCACAGGGAACAGGTCACACGAACACGCCATGGAGCATGGGGGCAGGCAGGGCCATCCCAGGCTAAGGCAGTACTTTCTGTTCCTCCTCAGCTCTTTCCTCTGTCCAACTGTACTAATTCCTCTCATCCCCTTACAAATGAAAACCTTGAACTGAATGAAGGCCAAGTGCTGAGAGTGAGCTCTGACCAGCTGAGATGACAGGCGTATCCCACGCATCCCTATTCGTGACCGTGCAAGAGGATGTGCGCACCCGTGTCTGTCCGTGCATGAGAACATGAACAGTCACATGTACATGACTCAGGTCCTCTGCCACCCTTCATTCCTGCCTCGCCATCCCAAGGATGGGTTCTCAGGGCAGAAAGGCAAGATCTGGAAGCTCACCTGGATATGGCCTCCAGTTCTGATGTGGCCCATGAGAATTTTACCACAAGTAAACTAAAAAAACTCAAAAAAGCATAGTGGGATGAATAGAAGATAAACAAAAACAACTTAACCCTACTCTAGGATTCTGGGAAAGGAGACAGGATGCAGTCACATGGTGTAATCACTGTCTTTCTGTCTTTCTCCCTGGGTTGCTTCTAATTCTGTTCTCTTTCATGAGCAAAAACCTTACACATTGGAGAGTTCTGTACAATTCTCCATCAGACCAACAGCATTGGGAACAGCGGGGGAGTGAAGAATCACAGACCCAGGACCAAAGCTCGGTGCCTCCCTGGGCTTTGTGCCTCCAGTGCTGACAATCCGGGGCCCAATGGTTAAGAGACGCCAGGTGAGCACATGGTGTGGCCCAATTCCACACCGTGGCTGTTGTCTCTGGGAAAACTGAGGTCTGTTTTGGCCAACAGTGGCCAGTGTTTAATATGTGCTAGGTGTGTGTGGACTGTGGAAATGTAAATGTGGTGATTCTTGCCATGCCCACCCCCCCAACTGCATACTATTTGCTAGGTAAAGGTTCACATGTGCATGCATACATACCTGTCTGCCTATGTGTGACTATAGTCACATGTTCACGTTCAGAGAGAAATATCCACAACGTCACCAAGAATGAGAAAGGCCACCTCTACCGCAAGACGAAATCGAGTATTTTCACACCACAATAACCATGTAAGTCACTCTGCAACACTGCCAGCCAGGAAATCTCTTCCGTCCCCTCTACAACTTCCTCTGAAGCTACCTTTAAGGATCATAGCCTCCAGTCTCTTCTAGGGAAGATTTTAACCCTCTATTTTTAACTCTGTGAGGAAAGCTCATCAATGATCCCATGACTTAGCGGATGTTAAAATGGAGGGGGGAACAGGAGCACGAGGCATCAGTGAAATGCCACCTGTCCGGGGACAAGCCCTCAGCTGTGTGCCTGCAGGAACCTGCCCTTATCCCCACTACTCATCCCTAGGGTTGTGAGAAATCAATGTCCAGGAATGGGAACATCTGGACAGCAATAATGGCCAAGCCCTGAGGGATTCTTCAAAACTGCCTCACCAGAACCGGCATTATCTGTGGCCCTGTTGGGGGATAGCGGGTGGGGGGACAGCGCAGGACAGGCAGGGGCAGGAGGTGGTCAGGGTGGCAGCCACCTACACTCTGTGGATGCTACAGCCTGGGACTCAAATGCCTTCAGTGGAAGAGGTGCCACCCAGCCACACCCAGTTCCACAGACTGCTCGGCAGTGCACACAGCATGCACATATTCTGCTTCAAAGGCCAGGTGGTGAAATGTTAACTTGTCACATCAAAAAGAACAGAAAAGTAGACCAGGATCATCCATTAACAGAACTATCCCATTTGCAGGTGTGTTTCAAAACCTACCCTGAGAAAAACATGTTCCCTGCCACTCTACCGCTCATCTGGAGCCCAGGGTGGGTGGGTGGGAGAAGGCTTAAGTAAAAAAGTGAGTTCACTTTCTTGGTGAATGCAGTGGCACCCAGGGATGAATGCAAATCCAACTGATGGATCTTCGCAGGACAAAAGGTGCAGGCGCCTGCAGCTCATGCAAAGGTGCGCTCTGTCTGTCCCTGTCTTGCTTCTGGGCATCACCTCCTGCTTCTTGAGCCCTCTGAAGATGAATTTTTAGCTTGGTGAAGTGAAGTGGGAAACTGGGGTCTGGCACACATGTAGGCACCCCTGCTGGACTTTACCTGTTTCCGTAAGTCCTGAGCCGACCGATGCAGAGGGGGGTGGTGATGGGTGGCAGCAAGCCCCTTGGCCGAGGAACCCGTGGAGGGGGCCGCTGCGGGGTGGTTAGCTGAAGCCTGCTCCCGGCGGCTGTCAGCCCGGTGATCGCTGTGCTTCTCCTTTGCGGGAGTGGCCTCTTTGCTTTTGTGTTTTTGAACAGGTTCCTTCTCCCGTGTTGACCTGCTGGAACCATTGAAAACTAGAAAGGAAGGAGAAAACAAGAATGAAATCACTACCTTGACCACTACCACGCAAACTACTGATATGGTTTGGCTCTGTGTCCCCACCCAAATCTCATGTCCAACTGTAATCCCCATGTGTTAGCGAGGGAACTGGTGGGAGGTGACTGGATCATGGAGGCAGTTTCCCCTATGCTGTTCTCGTGATAACAAGTGCGTTCTCATGAGATCTGATGGTTTAAAAGTGTTTCCCACCTCACGCTCTACCTTTCCTGCTGCCATATAAGAAGTGCTTTGCTTCCCCTTCGACTTCCACAATGATTGTAAGTTTCCTGAGGCCTCCCCAGCCATGCGGACCTGTGAGTCCACTTAACCTCTTTTCTTTATAAATTACCCAGTCTCAGGTAGTATCTTTATAGCAGTGTGAGAATGGACTAATACACCTCTACTCCCTGAAGTCAGAAAGAATCAACCATCAAATGTCAGAGCGAGACTCTGTCTCAAAAAAAAAAAAAAAAAAGTCTATTCTCAGATTTAAAAGAGATGCATTTTGAGGCCAGAGAGCTACTGACATGCATGAGTTCGGGGCGCAGCTGCTTTATCTGACCTATCAGTGACAACAGAGATGAAGAAAGGGATGATGGAACTTTGAGCCAGACCCATTTTCTGTTCCTAAATTCAAAAACAGCAATAGCTAATAGCTAGTATTTCTTAAGTGCTTCCTATAAGCCAGGGGAACTA
Organism: Homo sapiens; assembly: GCF_000001405.40. NCBI lineage: Eukaryota > Metazoa > Chordata > Mammalia > Primates > Hominidae > Homo > Homo sapiens. Next base: position 15,486,585 of record NC_000006.12, on the reverse strand, counting down.
TGCTAAAGTCCTGAAGTACATTGAGCCTCTGAATCCTCAGAACAACCCTACTGGACAGGACACTTACAGATGGAGGGGGTACGTGCCTGGCACAGGCCATGCCACCTATCCCTGGCACATGAAGTCAGCCTGCCTCCCAAGCCCACCCCATCCACCCCAAACCCCAGGTGGCTACAAGTGAGAATTTCCAGTGAGCATGGTGCTTCCTACCCATGAGGCAGAGACTTCAAAAGAGAACAGGGATGCTTGGGGTTTCTACAGAAAACCAGAAACACCAACGTTATGGGTTTATCCTTCTGCTTTACAGTCCCTCCCCATGGAATAAACGAGACTTTCACATCCATTTCTCTGGAACCCACAGGCCTTGTCTCCCCACAAACAGTCCAAACAGGGCCTGTTTCTTCAGGGAAGGAGGAAGCACACCCTGTTCCTGGGTTGCCTTTAGGCAGATCAGCAAGGGGAAGCTATAGTGATCTTTTAGCCATCATCCTGCCAGAGGGAGTTTTCAAAAGGTTACTGTGTCCACTCATGCATCTGGCACTTGAGCAGCTCCAGGCCATCCCCACCCCAACCAGGACTGGCAGAACTTCAGGTAGAATTCCCTCACCCCCACAGCAGCAGATGAAAGTGAAAATTATTCCTCCTTTGAGTTGTAAATCTCTTCCTATTGGCTTGCAGAAGGGGAAATCAAATCTTTCCTCCTCTAAACATCTTACCTGTCTGTCCTTTCTGAAAACTCCCTTTTCCCCAACATTCAATCTCACATGGAATTTTAAGAGTCCTTTAAATTATATTAATGTCTTATAAATTGCAAATACTGTCCTCTTTTGCCGTTTACTTTTTCATTTGCTGTGGTGCCAAATCTGCTAACAAATTTCTTTGTTTCTTGCTTTCGTGCTTAACCTACCCTTCCGTATATCTTCTCCCAGTTTTATGAAAGTATAACAATTAAAATGGTACGTTTACAGTATGACATGTTTTAATACATGTATAAAGTGATTAATCAAGCTAATTACCACACCCAATCCCCTTATATACTTTTGTGCTAAGAATATGTAAGATAAGCAACTTGAGTATACACTACATTATTAGTGACTAGTCACAAGGCTGTCCAGTAGATCTCCAGATTTTCTCTCTCCCTTCAAACCAACTTTGCATGCACCCTTTCATCAACATTTCTCCATTCCACCACCCATGCTTTCAAACGGTAAAATAATCTTCTAAGTTTCCTTCTAATTGTTTTCTAATTAAACTGCTTGGATTTAATTCTTTAGTCCAATTGTCATGGTATAAGATGGAGATCTCCATTATCCCCATCTGGATTATCGGTTGTGAGCCTTTATCTCAAAGTTCCTTCCAACACCAGTGATTAATAGATTTTAAAATACTGAAGGAAAGACCAGGCCACGTCAAAATATGGGATACAATCCGACGTTGCACAAGATTCTACTGGATACTCTCAGTTAACACAGAAAATGGAGAGTTTCAAATGGCTGGCATTTATTCTAAGTAACTACCCATTGTCAGAAACCATCAATCATGCCCAAGCTGGCAGTATCTGTGCTAGCTTTCAAGACAAATTAAAAGCAACATCCGTAAGAAGTCATACTTCAATGTGATTAAAAATCAAGCCAAGGGAACATGAATCTAGGCAATTCTTGACTGTTCACCAATTTTCTAAAGCAGTGAACACAGCTTATTAAAACATAGGAAGTAGTTGCTTTTTTTTTAATCTCCAATACTCCTCCAAACTTCTCTGTGCTTTTTCCTGCCATTAAGACATGTCTCATGGTGAGGCCTGCTACAAAGAAGCACCAGTTCTATAATTACTTCTCTTTATTCACTTAACAAAATATTACTATATGGGTTTCCCGCCCTTCAAAACATTATCTGCAGCTCATTCCCAGCTCTGTTGTTTGCAGCTGGGCAAGTTATTTAATCATCAGTTTTCCCATCTATAGACTGGGGAATAGCAGATGTTCCGGTAGGTAGAACATCTACCACAATGTCTGGGGTTCAGTAGGTACACAGTATTTGGGAGACACTATCACTGCATGTTTAAAAGGGCCATCTCAGGTTACTGCACAATCAGATTGTGGGCAAATCTCTTTTTGCCTCATATCCCTCCCTGCAGACAGAGTATAAAGAAGGGCTTCAATGCAGACAAACACTGGTCTCAGCAAGACCCAATACAACCTCCTACTCCTCTGGGTCATTAATTTGTCCACACTGACCATGCCTGTTACGTCTCCTACTCATGCCAGACCATGACTGAGAGTCTGTGGACAAAGTCCAGCAGAGCCAGGTGCCTCCTAACACTTGCCAGTATCACTTTCATGGGAAAAAGAGGAGTAGCTAATCACCTGCCTGAGCAAAAAGAAATACAACACTGAAAACACATCCCAATTTTCCACTAGCGACGTATGGTCAGATCAGTGGATCTCAAAGGAGATTTACAGACCCTTCAAGGACCTAGAAACCCTTGCAGGAGATGTGCTAGGGTCGAAACTATTTCATAATAATACAAAGACATTATTTGCCTTTACAATGGATAGACATCTGCACTGATGGCACGAAAAATGGTAGGTTAACTATAAGGGAAATGCAAATCAAAACCATAATGAGATACACCACTTTACATCGACTAGGATGTAAAGTCATATCATAAAGATGGATAATGATGACTGATTGCAAGGATGTGGAGAAACTGTAACCCTCACACACTACTGGCGGAAATGCAAAATGGTTTCTCCTTTTCAGATAGCTCCTCAAAAGGAGAAACGTAGGAGTTCCCATATGACCCACCAATTCCATTTCCAGGAATGTACACAAGGGAAATAAAAAATATGTCCACATAAAAACTTGCACACAAATATTCACAGCAGAATTATTACTAATCGTTAAAAATTGGGGGAAATCACCGAAGATCCAACTGATATTTATTTAGATAAAGTGGTATATCCATACAATGAAGTATTAGCCATAAAAAGGAAATCAAGTATTGATACATGCTACAGTACATTTAATGGGTATATTCTATAATGTGTGAATTTTATCTCAACAAAATATATTTTTAAAATATGGGTGAAATCACGGGTACTTTAGCATAAACAAAGGCAATGGCACCAAACTACTATACACTAGTCTAATATGCATTTCATCCCTACCATGGATTAGTAGCAGTTAAAAAAAAAAAACAGCCAGTTTCACTTAAGAATGACCTTGATAAAGTCATACAAACAGTGAGTATGACTGAATCATGGCCCCTGAGCACACATACTTTGTGTGACAAGATGCTATTACACATAAAGCACTTCTCCTATATACAGAAATACAATGATCATCTCTAGGGAAAAGCACTTGTGTGATTGTGCAAGTTTTGGGCTAGCCCCTTTTTCATAGGATGTTGTTTTTATTTCAAGAAGGACCAACACACTATAGTTCTTCGGACTTAGTTATTTGTAGTTTTTACTTAGTTACTAGATTTTTTTCAAAAATGAACAAAGCAAGCCTGTCTATTCAAGGAAAGTAACTAATAGTCGTTGCTGCCAATGACAGAATTCATGCTTTCAGGCAAAAATTAGAATTTCAGAAAACCAGTATCTGCCATCATGAGTTCGACAGAAATTCTTTGATGATGTACCCTTGTTCATTACCAAAGGTGCTAACAAGAACTCACTGAACCATTATTTTCAAATGAACAACATAGGATGCTACAAAACAGTGCATGGGTTAAAGGTCCATTCAAAGAAAAAGACAAACCAATGGATATTAATGTAACAGTATGAAAAGTTCACTGATACAGGTACAGGTTCCCAGAGCAACTGACCTGTAGGAAACTACCAGTAGAGCCTACTATCCTATCAAGTACTGAAATCATCTACAAAGACCGTTTCCCATGTACATACATATTTATCCAAAGCTGATTTTCTTCATATACATCAACCAAACTATGTACTGCAACACTCAAGAGATGAATACAGAAGCAATCATAATATGGCTGTATCCTACTTAGTAAGACATTAACGGGATTAACAAAAAGGTCAAATAATGTAACTCTTAATAAGTTTTTGGTTTTGGACTATGATTATTTTTCATTAAAAAATGCTATATGTGTTTAACACGTAACTGGTTTGTGTCATTTTTTAAATGAATAAATATCTTAAAGTGTCTTAACTTTTAATTCTAATATGGTAGATATGAGAATTAAAGCTGATATTAATAAATATAATCCACATTAATAAAAGCCTTTTGGGGTCCCTCAATAACTTCTAAAAGTAGAAAGGGGTCTGGAATTCAAAATGCCTGAAACCCTGGGGCCAGATCATCTGTTCCATTACTCCTTACATGATGATTTCAAGAAGCTTGATGTGTCACATAAAAACTGACAGGAGTCACCTGTTCGGTGATAAATCACTTGGCAGGGCAAGGCCAGTTGCTAAGCTGGGACTTTCACAGACACTTGAAGAGTGTGACTGTGGTTAGTCAGCAGTATCTTTCTTATCTGAAAAAAACAGATCCTTCATTGCAGTATCCGTACCTGAAACCAGATGCACAACTCTTTGATTGTATTTTGAGGTCACAAAACCTACTGCTCAGGAAAATACTATGGACAGCAAAGCGGTGAGTACCAGGATTATAGGAAAGGGGAAACGGAGACGAGAGGGAGGCAGGTGAAATTAACATAGTGAACCATAAACTGGCTGCCCTGAAGACTTCAGCAAGGTACTCTACTAAAGAATATTTTGATGAGATATCTGGAAATGGAAGAGTTTTCAAACATACGGAAATTAAAAACTGAATCAAATTAACTTTCATTTGCAAACAAAGAGAAGGTTTCCAACCAAACCCACTTTTTGTAACCATCATGCTGTTTTAGAGCAGCGATATACCCAAATGGCAAACATAGCCAGAAAGTCAAATCATGTGTTAAACGGGAAGTAAAGGGGGCAGGGGGAGGACTGGGCAACACCGACAGAGCCAAAGACAAGGTATATTTTGTACTCAACAGCTCATTAATTTTAAGTGTCGTGGGAACCTGCCAGTTTTACTCCTCCAAGTAATTATCTTTTGTCTTAATTTGTAAGATTTGAGAAAGGGAGAGAAGAGGAAAGGAAAAAAAATATTCACTCTCACAGGGAAAGATTAAACCCTGTGAACATAAGAGAGAGAAAGACAGAAAGTTCAATGTATAGAAGTCCTCCACACACTGTCCCCAATTAAAAGAAATAATTGGACTAGTTTCTTTAAGGAGAGAAAAAAAGCATTCATCACTGTGAACCATATTAGGAAATTGTATTGTACTCAGATACAAATAGCTTTACATTAACGAACAGAGACAAATATATTGATTTGTATACACATACTCTGAAAGTTAAACGGCCTATAGAAAAGTGTTTTCACACCACGGCAGGCAAAATCTTTAAATCCAAAGGCTATTATTTTGATTTAGGGTCACCTCATCCCTGAGAAGGTAAGATTTGCTCCCAATGAGGGATGAAAAAGATATGGGCAAAAGAAGTTACTTTAGAAACATATTTAATAGCAATCCTGTAACAATTTGAAAGGCAGAGAGATACACTTTCCTAGGGGAATTCACAACTATACCTCCAGGGAGCTTGTCCTAAACAATGTTCCCCAAAAGCTTTGTTCGCATATTTAGATGCTGACACAAGTTTCCTGGAAGAGACCCTCAAGGAAGGCAGCCCTATGAGAAACTGATCGCAAGGTTTTTAATACCCTCACTCCATGCACAGACTCTTGATTTTGATGTCTAGTTCTGCTCACCAACCCCGTTTGGGCCTCAATTCCCTGAACTACAGACCAGCTGGCTGCTTCCTCTTATCCGCCCTCCAGGACTTGCTGAAGTATTTTGAATAAAGTATATAAGTGCTTTGCGTTCTTCAGAGAAAGGAGTTGCGCAAATATAAGAAGAATGATCTTTTCGAAAGCTCTTGCTGCAATGGCAAAGATCCACATGTGAAAAATATAATTTTTAGAGAAAGCTGACAAAGCTGGCCTTCTACTTTTACCTGTCTCCAAGCGCCTCCCAGAACCAGACGCCCCTATCTTGCCAATTACCCATGCTAATAAAGGCACCTCATCCAAACACAAGAGGGAATCCTGATGTGTATTATTAGATTATTAGATGTGTATGAAACAGGAGTCCTTACTTGGCATCCAGCAAAAGTTATAAGATATCCTGGAATTATGCAGTGTATGACCTGAAATAATACAGTTCAGAAGGCCTAACCTCCTTGAAAGAGAAAAATCCAGACAAGGACCATTACAGAAAGTCAGCCGAAACATCTGCTAGCAAGGCAACAAAGGAAAAGAAGACCCTGAAGATGGGACCGAACTAACCCCCAAATTAAAATACCTTCTTCCTGTCCACACCCCAAAACAAACGAAAGGGGCAAAAAAAAGAATCACTGTAAATAAAGAAGAAATGTGTTAAGCAAGGGAAAAGAGATCCACCGCAAGTTTCTGATCTCAAGCCAGATATTTAAATGTACGCTTCATGTCATTACAAGGCATCCCTTCCTTGGGCAAGACACAGACTCCGTCAATTGGCTGGCATTAAATCCCTGTTACTGTACAAAAGCCACACTTGCTCCCTGGAGCCAGTTCAACTTTGAGTCACTATTGTCTGAAAACAATGGAATGTCTGCCAACCTGTGCCAACAGTTCAAATGGATTTTAATGTAGCATGTGTGAGTGCTGTAACCCGGTTTGCCCTGGGCCAAAACAGCTCCACCATCCACGTGTAAAACTAGGGAAAGCTGCAAGAACACAGCTTAGGTGAGCAAAACCCCCATTATCACCTTGCATCCAGCCAGCAGCTCACTCGCACAGGGAACAAACGTCAACCTGGGATGCTGCCTCTGTACTCCGAAACTCCAGTATCATAAGCAAATTCTACTGGTTTACAGGCTTTGTAAAACGCTTCTGGAACTTTCACACAATGAAATCTCTTTCACTTTGATCACAATTATAACAGATATCTGGAAATAGAATGTTTAAAGCCAATCACATCTTCTTCCTTTTCTATAGAAGAACTTAAATTCTGTAATATTTTTCCCACCAATTACCACTTGGTTGCCACTCTCATCATGATCTCCAAGTGTGAATGCATTATGTGCAATGATAAAATAACAGACTTGGATATATCTGCCCTTTACACAAATTTCTTACATATATTCCTGCTAACATACGACACTAAAATTAAAAGACTTTTATGAGAATATAAAGGTCAGGACAACAGAAAGACCATAAATCAGGATGAATGGTTTTTGTCATTGAAAAATGGCTTCTTGGCCCTCTTGGCCCCCAAAAGTGCTGAGGAAAGGATGGCAGACCTGATGATTACTAGCCCCGCGGCCTGTGTGGGCATCAGTCACTCTAAAATGTTTGCGTTAATGGTAAGGGAGGAACAGCTGGACAAATGGCCTTACGGGGCAACAGGCAGTTGGTCTGCAAGGCTCTCGTGCTTTATCACTGGCAAGAATCAAGGCAAGAGCACAGAACTGCAGGTTACACTCAGAAAAGGATGGCGTTAACTCGTAAAGAACACACGAATAAAATGTTTCTGCAGTTTTGGGTTTCATAAAACCCTAAATCCGGCCGGGCACGGTGGCTCACACCTGTAATCTCAACACTTTGGGAAGCCGAGGCAGGCGGATCACCTGAGCTCGGGAGAGCATCCTGGCCAACACAGTAAAAACCCCATCTCTACTAAAAGTAGAAAAATTAGCCGGGCATGGTGGCGGGCACCTGTAATCCCAGCTACTCAGGAGGCTGAGGCAGGAGAATCGCTTGAACCCGGGAGGTGGAGACTGCAGTGAGCCGAGATCGCGCCATTGCACTCCAGCCTAGGTGACAAGAGTGAGACTCCATCTCAAAACAAAACAAAAAACCTAAATTCCAAAAATAATGATTTAAAACAGGCCAACCACATCTGAAGTCAGTGATAAGAGTTCTGGCTCACCTTTGGATTTGAGTAAGGAATTTGTAAACTGTTTACTACACACCGAGAGAGAAACACCCTTAAATATGCACATGCGAGTTAGACCAGAACGCATCCCATTGACACAATTGACTATACAAGTTATAGGCAACTTGGTCATTTTCAAAGTAAAAACATTAGCACGAAAAAACTAAATACAGTCGGCCCTCTCTATCTGTGGGTTCTGCATCCATACCTGAGAGTAGTGACCCCACCCTCACATATCCTCCCCCACAACCCCAAGCAGCATTGCGAGTCAGGTATTAGTAATATAATTTTACAAAGGAGGAAAACTAAAGCTTAAAGAGGCTAAATAATCTTTTTAGCCCTGACACCAGGCTAAAAAGAGGGATCAGAGCCAGGAGCTTCTCTTCCACCACCAGATACACCATCTTCTAGCTGCCTGTCACAGAAAGAGTTACGAAGGTAACAACACCAAACTCATGGGGCATGGGCCAACTATCCCGAAGTGTGTGCCTATATCCCCCACTAAGGCCCTACGAGGCCAGTGGAACAAATAAATACTTTAGCAAAGCAAGAAGAAACAGGGAAAGGATGATAATCCTGACACAGGAATTACCAAGACCTTCTACCACACTGAAACAGCCCACAACATAGTTCTGGCGAGGCTGATGATGTCACAACACTCAAGGGTAATGGCTGACTCTTTGACAGTCCTCATCGTGCCCCAGGCATTTGAGATACATAAACTTTCTCGAGTTTTCCTAGCAATTATAAGGTTGTTCCAGGCACCAGATCTTTTCAATCACATTATGTTAATGATAATATGCAACACAGCAGTTTCTAACATTAACTGTTGTAACATGTATCAATTCATTTAGTTATTGCCAAAACCTATGATCTCTTCTTCAGAGATAAGAAAACTAAAACAGAAAAATCCTAAGGTTGCAGCCATAAGTGTGTCAGTGCTGTAATCATGATGCTCTGAACCATCCTACCCAACGGCCTCTAAGGAACACCGCCCCAAATGCGTAAAGGGGGTGGTTAGAAACATACATTGTATAACTGGTCTCTCTACATGTATTACAGCTCTTAAAAAAAAAAAAAAAAAAAAACCAACACTCCCATCCCATATTCCAACTTTTTGGAATAGTCACTTGTCTCAACAGGAAAAATGGAGCTACCAGAGGTTAAAAAGAGGTAAAGAGAATATCACATGTTCTCTCGGGGGCGGGGAGGCGGCATTTGTCTGTTACAGAGTGTCTGTCCCCACTGAACATAGCAGGGCTATGGCAAGCTCCTGACCCTGATGCATGACCGACACCCCAACACCCCACCGCCCAGACAAAGAGAGGGCTCAATGCCCCTCAAAGGCAACCACAGAGCAGAAATGTGATAAACTCGTCCAAATGATTGCTTTTTGGCCCTTACACAACATGCCCCCGGTATGAATCTAAAAGCAATTAAGTCATTCCAGCTGGGAGTCCAATGACATGCTGTTTAAAAAGTCTTCTGAGAAACATCCCTCTTCAGAAAACGATATGCACAAAAGAAACAACAGCCACTCTTCTTCCTTCCGTTTTTAAGTTATAAAAAGCATTTAAAAGATACACATGCAGCTGACCTAGCAACAAGCCTTCACCAAGGTCTCCTCCTCAAAGCACTCAAAAAGCCAAGGTAAACTCATTCCAAAGGCATTTATTAATTCCTCTAGTCTACCTCACTTACCCCCTGGAAAAAATAACCAATTATGAGAGCTTAAGAAAAATCTAGGCATCTCAAATATCAACTTGTAATATAAATACCCATGAAGCAGTGTTCTGATTGTGTTATTTGGTTTCCAAATAGTCATTACCTAAGGGCTCCATTTTTAGAATCATTTGAGATTCTGTATATGGAAGAGTATTTTGGAAACTCTGATGTGCTATTGAAATAGAAGTTGCTGGAAGCATTGTTATTGTAACCCTTGAGTGCTAACCCAAGGTTAAAAGCTCATGTGATGCTGTCCAAATCATTTCAGATTATATATTTTAATAAATCCATTTCCATTAGGATGTTCAGTGGATTACAAATGAGCACATTAGAGTCCTGTGTAATGTTTGCAAAACAAAACATCTGCCTGGGGACAGCAGGCTCTTGCAGGAAACTACTGGCATCAGGACTCCTGCTCGGAGGAAGAAGGGTACAGTCTCAGGCCCATGTGGAAGCTGATGGCAGGACACTGTGGATGGTGTGTGTGTCCTCTCCTGCCACCTCTGCCATGAGGCCAGAGGTCCCGGCTCCATGACCAGAGCCACTCTGCTCTTTTGTGGAGAAACAAGATGAAACAGGACACCCCTGGCAGTCTGGGTTCTAGGTTCTTCAGCTAGCTGCTGAAATAAAGCTGTTCTCCTTGAAATGTGGCCTAATTAAAATATTGGCCAAACCCACCCCAGTGGTAAAGCATCAGTTTTCCATACTTTTGTTTTCTGTGTGTTTATCTCCCCACATTTCAGCAGGGGTGATCCCTCTGGGGAGGATACAGATGTTGCTAGATTTCCTGACACGCCTCAACAGCTCGAGCATACAAAATAGGGAAAAGCACAAATCTGATAAGAGAAATACCCTGTAATGGAAAAGTCACAAAACAACCAGCTTGCTCTCCCCTTTCGCTTGTGAAAGATTAACAATTCTGAGCAGTTGCTTGAATACACAATCGTGATGCCCTCACCCAGGTTCTCCCTGCAAGAAAACCTATTTTAAGACCTGTGCCTTCTTCACCCAAGTCAGAAACCAAAAGGACACGAAGATCATCTGCCTCTATATTTGAATGTTTTCAAAAAATGAGGGAGTAAAACTGAGGTGTGAGGAGGGAAGACTGAGCTCTCACCTTCTTAACTAACTATATCCAAACCGTTCTTTCCATGCAGCCAGAGAACTTATTTTCATCTAAAAGCACAGCTCGTGTTTTGCTTCTATTCACCAAGGCACTCCAAAATCAGGGAACAGGGGTAAGGGCAGAGCATCACAGCTTCCTGAGGTCGCAGGTGCAGCACGGCCTGGCTCAGGTGCCTTGTCTCATGGCACAATGTGGGGCTAGTGGGTTTATGTTGAAGAACAGGTGGTAGGCGATTATGCAAGAGAAAATGCTAGTTGCACGGCGAAGCGAGGACCTGGGCCTCCCTGGCAGTTCCACAGCACCTGATGTGGCCTGAGATGTGGTGCTCTCCAGGACTCTTTCCTCTGTCTGCAGTTCAGAAGAGGCCTTCTTCAGGTTCAGAAAATTGCTAACCTCTTTTCTGACAGCACCTGCACCTGCAGAGCTCCAAGCTTCATTAGATTTGCAAGGCACTGGTGCCTGATTGCCTTTTTATTGCAAGGAACCCTCTATAGGAAGATCTGTTTCATTTTATATTATGTCACATTTAAATAAATACTCCCTTTGATGACTGATGGATACTCATAATGAAATCCCATTATAAGAAATTTCTAGGAATTCCGCTCTAAACTTACAGAGAAATGGACCTCAGTGAAATTTTGCAGGAAAGAACTTTTAGCTGCCATGGGAACTGTTGCCAACATTTGATCTGTATTTATTACACATGAAAACAAAGCTCTAGGTGATCCCAGCAGTCTGACCACTTGGAGGATTCTTGTGTAAACGACTGGTGTCAACCGGGATTATTACTGACTTTCAGCAACTCAGCCTTTGCTTGGAGGATGCAACAGTACACCAGTTTTCCTAAGGGTTATAAAAGAATGAAGAAAACAAAGTATAGATAGCAATGTAAATGGGGTTGAAGACACGGTGGGATATAAAAGTTTTAATCTGGACAAGTCACTATTATCTCAGGGAAAGAAGAATGGATTACAGGGACAAAATTTTAGTTGGGAACCTTCACCCAGCTGAATAGTGATCTTGGAAATGTCATTTTCCTTGAACATATAACAATGGCTGGCATCCACCATTAGAGATCTGAATGGCTCTACTGCTGCCCATGATACAGCCTCATTGTTTCCTTATGCTGGGATATAAATGAATCAATGACTGGACAAATTAATGCTAATCTACTCTATCATGCTGATTTCACAGAAGTAGAAATTAAGAATCAGAGAAGCTAAGTAAATACCTTGCCCAAGAACACACAAGCTAACGAGTAGCTAAAAAAAAAAAAAAAAAGGCATGCAACTAAGTTCCTGATGACTGTTCGATGGTGGCAAAGACATTCCTAAGAAATGAACAGACAAAAATGACAACAAATATGCATATTGAGCAACATGGCATTACAGTGTAATTTTAATCATCTAGAAATGGTTGAGGAAGTAGCAATGTTGGGCATGAGAATATTCCACAGCTGAGAATATTTAATTTTGAAAGACTGCTACACTTAGGTTTTTATCAATTTTGGATGAGATGATCAATAATTTCCTTCTCTACTGTTGAAAATAGTAACTTCAGAAATACTCTTAGGTTCAATTAGCACCTCTTGCCTGAGGGATTACTCCCAATATCACAAGTGTTTCCTTTAATAAACTGACGTCAGTTTGTTTCCTTGTCATCTGCCTTGATATAAAAGCGGATGTGAAATAGACTGGGGAAGGCAGCACAGCTAGCCAGCTACTGAGAGCTCAGTGTTCTTCTACAGTACTGCCTGAACCTGAGGCTGACATTAGCTTTCTTCAAAGCTGACTTTGGTTTCACGAAACCACCATGTTCCCCCGGGTCATTTGAAATCGGAGGAGCATTCCAAGTGGCCTGTATATTACTAAGCTGGCTTTATTCCATTCCCTCCACTGGCGTCATAAGGAAGCACTGACATCCTGTGGATTGTTACTCTTTGGCTTCCAAGGCCATTCAAGCCATGTGGCAACAGCAGGAAGGACTCTGCAGAGACCTATATCCCAGGTAGTGGCTTGTGGGGATTTTTTCTTTTCATATGACTTCACAAAAGACTTGGTACTCGGATGCCTACAAAGGGACAACAAATACATAAAACCCATAAATATACACAAAAACTACAAAATGTCTTAATGGAGCCCCAACGATCACACCACCCCCCTCTTAAGGACCTTGGTATATGGGTGTGAGGTGGGTGGCAGGACACAAAGCGGGGGGGGGGGGGGGGCACGCACATCAGAAGACAAGGGAGACAAGTCACCCAGGTAGCATCACCAAGTGACAGGGAATGACAAAGATGAATGAGACACTGAAACCTGTTTCATCAGGAGAAACACACGTAAAGACCTGAATGTCTTCTGACGTTTCTGACAGATGTGCCAGGAGACATCATCTCCCATTAGCTCCTTGTGGGTAGATCCTATTGCCGTGTTCATCTGTGCTATCTTTCAGAGCGCTTACGTCAGCACAGGGGCTTACATTTTTCTCATTTATACAGAAGTTAATCTTATTTGATTTAGGAGAGAAAAGGTAACTCCATAAATGGTTAATATCATTCACCACTGTTAACATGGCAAAGATTCTATGATTATGTTTCAGCACTTATCACAATAAAATGAGTTTGAGCTCTCTCCAAATCCTCCACAAATACAGCAATTTCGGGAACATGTAAATATGAAATCTTTCCTAACACGGGTATTCACATTTGCTAAAAACTCACAAATTCTGTAGGAAAAATTCTAGTGGAGTTGGTTTCGTGCTTGTCTCTTTGACTTGCACAGGAAATGGAATTTTTCTGACCAGGTTAAGATCTAAAAAATGCCCAGGCATAGCAATAGAAAGAAAACCTCAGACTAAATAAGATTCAAACTTCCCTATGACGCTGCTGAAGAGCAATGAATTAAATTGCAGAGGGACATGCCCAGGAAGTGAGTGCCTGCTCAGGAACGGGCAGGCCTAACACAGACTGAACAGGGAAATGGCTGGTGACTCTGGACAACAGAATGGGACAGCAAGAAGGACTGCAGTCTGGACAGATCTAAATACAGGTCTCTTGGGCCTGCAACAATCCCCCCACCAAACTTCCCCTGAAGTTCAGGTGCAGGCAAACAGACTGCACAGCCCCATGGCTTCTCCCAAGATGGTAGTTCTGGGACTCTGCTGGGTTGAAATCAAAGAAAACCCATTCACAATTCAAATACGACATAATCAAAATGGTAGACACTTGGAGGTTGGGGGCAGGCCTAATCACAGATGACATCAATCTAATTAAAATTATAAGCCAGCTGCTCAGGGATGTGAGAAAGGCCTTTCAGTTTGGTTATCTACAAGTCTCAGAAAAGGAAGCACAGAAAGGTTTGTACATTTCAGTGAAGTTAGTCCCCTTACTAAGCTCAGCTGGTTTGGGTATGCTTCCTGCAGCTCCTCTATCTGATGCTGTGACTCTATTGTAAAAGAAAGGATGACAGAAGAGACAGGGCGGAAGAGGGACAGCAAGGAGGGCAAGGGCACAACTCAGAAACAGCAGTAGGAGGTGGGTGTGTCGGTGCTTACCCAAGACCACTCATTCCACCTAGTCTTCCCAGCCTGGAGCCAGGATTCACACTATCCTACCAGCCCCTCACCGAGAGACATCAAAATTCATGAGGGGACAAAAAAATCCCAACACTGTTCCTGGAAATATCTGAATTAACAGGCATTAAATTTTTAATTTTAAAATTAAAAAAATTTTTAAATAAAATTTTAAATTTTAAACAATAAAAAATGAAAAAGTAGAATCTCCTAAGATTTTTGAAACTCAGAAGTTCATCTGTGTAAATGCACAGAGATATGTATCTATAGATAGTTACACTTTCCTTGACTCCTAGTGGCAATGACAGTGGTCAATGTAGAATCATTATGCCCTCCTTTAGGTGAGAGCTCAGCCTATCCCTTCACCCTCATTCCATCCCCTTCTTTCATATGCTCCATGTAACATGCTGCCAGATAGTCACTGCCCCTGCACATACCTAAGATCCATGCAGATGATGATTCTTAACATTAAAAACTGAATCCATGAGAAAAATCAGCATGTGAATCCAATGTCTCTAAATCAAGCTCAAACACTCTGGAAAACAAAGGAGTTAGCAACCCCAGTACAACTGCACTAGTATACATGGGATTAACTCAACTGATCAAGACGTCAGATAAATTCACCTGCCCAATCAGCATAAAAGGGTGAAAAACAACTTATGAAAAGGACCCAATCCGATACTACACTGATGAAACAGATTTCTATCATACAGCCATGCAGAAGACAACAGATGAGGGTAATTCCATGTTTTGTTCATATTTCTTCACTCTTCAATCTCTATTAAACCAAAAAGAAACCTAGAAAATTAAATTCCTTCACAAGAAAAAGTTCTCCAGAGGTTTCCTTTCTATCCATATTATATTTCAAAAACTTTACTTATTCAGGAGGCTTCAAGCAGCAGCTCCAAAATGATAAATTCCTGGTGTATTCTCAATAATTCGGTTGTCTCTCACCATCAACACAAACTCAAAAGATTATAAAGTTATTACCTTTCCACAAATCAACCCATTCCTAATTCCTATTCAATTACCTTCACCCCCGCCTCTGCAGGCCCCTGGGAAAAGCTATGCCACTGTAGCTTCTCAAGTTCAGGTTCACATCAGCTGTTGCCTGGATGGAACTCTCTGAATACAATAATTTTTTCCTTTATTTCAGACTAGTCTGCTACCAAAGGAATCGTTCAGAACTTGACGCATTTCCTCTTACTCCCACATCTAAAATCATCAACAGGTTCCTATTCTGTTATTAGAATTCTTTCTCGTGCCCAGGTCTTTCCAGGTCACCAAACAGTAGACCTCCACACTGGTGGAACAACAGGCAACAGTCCCAAAAACAGGCATTATTCCGCATCGCTCTGTTTGCGATGTTCTTCCTCCTTAGAAATTACATCCGTACACTAATACCTGCATTCCAATTCACATATGCAGCTCTCTTCCAACCACCCAGATGCCCTGATGACCACAGCTGCAGGTAACAACCTTTTCCCGAAAGGTTAAAATGTAGTTACATTTTGTATTTACCCCATCTCCCCAATTAAACCACAAGAACCTAAAAAGAGATTGCACCCTCTACTATGCAGATGTGTCACCTAAACACAATCAAAAGCAAGAGGCAAGCCAGATGAACAATTATTAAGTGGACAGAGCAGAAATGCCCAACAACAATGAAAGCTAGACAGAGATTTCAATCATGTCTAAGCTATGCTTGTCCTGAGCCTCTATTTCCCGGTGAATCCAGAAAGGCAAATGGTAGCTCAGTGCATAGGCACCAAGGAGAAAAATGAGCAGCTCTCCTTTGCCTCAATCACTTACAGACAGCACTGATTTTCCGCCATTTGTAGACAAGGCTTCTTTATCTTACAGGGTCTCAGTGGGTCCTAAGTAAAGTATGTCTAGTGGAGTAGCTGATAGGAGGACAACAGAAAACAGCCATATCTCCTGACTCCCATTCTCTTTGCTTCCCTCCTCTTTCTTTCCTACTTTTTTTTTTTTTTTGAGACAGAGTCTCGCTCTGTCGCCCAAGCTGGAGTGCAGTGGCACGATCTCTGCTCACTGCAACCTCCGCCTCCCGGGTTCACGCCATTCTCCTGCCTCAGCCTCTCGAGTAGCTGGGACTACAGCAGCACACCACCATGCCCGGCTAATTTATGTATTTTTAGTAGAGACGGGGTTTCACCATGTTGGCCAGGATGGTCTTGATCTCTTGACCTCGTGATCTGCCCACCTCAGCCTCCCAAAGTCCTGGGATTACAGGTGTGAGCCACCTCGCCCAGCCTCTTTCCTCTTTTCTTACTCTCATTCCCCCACTCAGTGCAATTCCAATTGGTTCAGGACTACCTCTGTGCTGCCTCTGAAATCACTCCTTTTTATACCTATTCTACATCTTCCAATGTCTACTGGACAACCTTCGGTCAGGGAATTGCCTACAATTACAACCTCGCTGTGCATTTCCCCTTCAAGTTATTTCCCTTTAAGAAGTCCTCATCATCGATGCCGGCTTCATGTTTTCAGGGCACAACTCCATTTAAGTCACTTCTCTATTGAAAAACCACTAGGCGGCTGGGCGTGGTGGCTCATGTCTGTAATACGTGGGGGCCTGTAGTCCCAGCTACTCAGGAGGATGAGGCAGGATAATGGCGTGAACCCGGGAGGTAGAGCTGGCAGTGAGCCGAGATCGCGCCACTGCACTCCAGCCTGGGCGACAGAGCGAGACTCCGTCACAAAAGAAAGAAAGGAAAGAAAGGAAAAGCGGAGAAGCGGAGAGGGGGAGAGGGGGAAAGGGGGAGAGGGGGAGAGGGGGAGAAGGGGAGGAGAGAGAGAGAGAGAGAGAGACAGGAGAGAGAGAGAGAGAGACAGAGAGAGAGAGACAGAGACAGAGAGACAGAGACAGAGAGACAGAGAGACAGAGAGAAAAGACCACTAGGCACTTTCTATAGCCAACTTATCCACATAAGATGAGTTTCTTTGCTGTGATACTCAAGCTATTGTTCCTGCCTTTTATCCTCCTCCTCCACACTATACACGCAAGGGGAAAATCAGTCCACTTCAGAATGTATGTGCAATTCCATAGGAGGAATGATAATTTTCTTCCTATACCATATCCACCTGCTAAAATCACATTAGTAATTAAAGGGGGGCACAGATGTTGTTTCACCAAATCTTCTTGACCATCCCCATGTAGATCTGGTCTTTTCCTGTTCTGATGCCTGTTTATCTACAGCTCTTATAGAATTTACCATCATCTCCACATCATCAGAGTATCTGCACTCACCTAGAACACCCTGGACTACACTAAGCTACACTAATAATCCCTTTGCCCATGAAGTGTCTGGCCCTGGAGAAGTACCCAGAACGAGCTTTGCCTTCATCTCATCTCTTCTCAGCAGAGGCTCTCTTCCAGCTCTCACCCAAAGCTTTAGATTTTTTCTTATCCAAGTTCAACGGTGGACCTACCATGCCCGTTGTGAACATGTTTGTGGGTTTTTCCTTTCCTGGGGGTCGACTGGCATGAAGATGAAGCATTGTTGGTGGCTGTTTTGACGTCTTCTGTCTCATCATCTTCCTCCTCGACTTCCTCCTCATCCTGAGAGCTTCCAAAATACACCATGCTGTTGGGCAGCGCAGGAGAACCTGGTGGAATAAGAAAAACAGCTCATAAACACAGGCCTTGACCCTCACCCTTTCCAGAAGGAACACCACAATGAAACAAAACCGAGGAGAAAAAACAAAGCAACTGATCTCTACTGCCATTTTAAATTTATTTTTCAAATGCTCCCAAGATCATCTGTGCCTTTTGAACGTATTTCAAGCAAAATCCCCCAGCAGGAAGAAGATGCAAAATAGAACAAATAAGGATTTTTAAAATCTCATCTGAATATCTCTTGAGAAAAAAAACAAACACCTCCAAGGATGGAACAAAAAAATAATAAAATAAAAACACCTACCCACTGCTGAGGAAGAGAGATTACTCTAAATTAATAGACTTAAAAAAAAAAAAAAAAAGACAGAGAAGACAGAAGTAAAAACAGAATATAACATTTCATTATATAAAATCACTGTGTTGTATTCATAAGGAATATTCATTCCTTATGGTGGATATGAATTCCCCAAATTCCAATAGTTTTGGAAGTTACTTTGATGTCCTGATTAGGTTAACTGGATGCAAAAATCACCCAAATAAATTCCCACGCTGCACTAAGTAAAAGTGCTGAATTTGAAATAAAAAATAAAGAAATAAACCTCCCAACGGGGGAACCGATCTCCTCACCTTTACCCTTTTACATCTTAACCTCTCATCCTCAAAGGTTCTCATTCCGGATTTTAAAGTAACAAAAAAATAAGCTCAATATCATTATTTTTCTAGAAAGGGTCTCACTCTGTTGCCCAAGCTGAGTGCAGTGGCGCGATCACAGCTCACTGCACCCTTTACTGGGCCAAGCAATCCTGTAGCTGGAGCTACAGGTGCGCACCACCACACCCAGCTAATTTTTTGTGGGGAGATGGAGTCTTGCTATGTTGCCCAGGTTGGTCTGAAATTTCTGGACTCAAGCAATCCTCCTGCCTTGGCCTCCCAAAGTGCTGGGACTGCAGGCATGAGCCCCCATGCCCACCCTTAGGCTCAATATTCTTAAAAAAAAAAAAAAAAGCACAATATAGTTCCTCTTTATCAAACAAAGGCAATTCAGGAAATACAATCAAGTCATTTGTACGTTGTTTGGAACCAGAGGCTTCTAAAACACAAACAAAATCCCCTTCAGTCTAATAGTAAAAGAACTAGTAAATACAAAATTCATGTCTTCTCTTGCCTGCCTATGAATGAGCTAAAAACACTCCAGTAACATCACCGAAGAGATAGATCACCAATTCACTCTCCTACCTAAATAGAGATCTCAAAGATCTCAAGGTTTAAACACACAGTTAAAACCATTTCTGTCCAGCTTCGGAACTATATATGCTCAGTGACAAGGAAATGGAAAATGAGCAGTATCAGGAGCTGAGATGGCAAACCAAGCACCCATCTCCCCAAAATGCAAAGACTATGTGGGACCTTCAACCCCTTCCTTTTCCTACAGGCATCTTCATGACCTATCAATGTTCAAAAACCCCCCAAATTATGTGAACCACATTACTGAGTGGATATGCAACTGCAAAGGGATACAGTCGGCAAAAAGACCCTCTGTAGACAGAAGATTTCAACTTGGTCTTACAAAAGCCATTTTGATGTTTTGTTCCCCTCCCCTTGATTGTCTCCATTTAGAAGTAGATTCTGGACAGAAAGAAGGTTCTTAAACCTGACACAGACTTTGGGGAAAATCAAATAGAAGAGGGAGTAAAATAAACAGTCAGGAGTTAAAAGAGAAAGAGAAAAAAATATCTATCCACATTTCCACTGGACCAAAATATATACTCAATCTAAATGGTTTTACAATTGGTACAAGACTGACAAGGAAAACAGGAGGCTAATTAGCATAGTTTTCAGTACAGTATCACCATTCATGGGTACAGACAGGTTATCTAATCAAATACAACAATGTTGTTGATCCCTCTTCCCTAAATCTACCTTTATAAGTATTTATGAAAAAACAAGAGTAACTACAGCACTCAAAAAATATTCAAATTATTTTACTATCGATCTAACACATGCTGTCAGTCATACCATTAGGAGAGAACTTGTAAGTTTTAGACTCTGCCATTAAATTTCCCTCTTCTAAAAGGAGATGGGATAGGTTAAATAGTTCCTCCCAGATAAAAATATCCATGCTTAATTTCTTTTAAAGAACAACCTTCCTATACTGTATCTTGGAGGCAATGACTAGCAGCTGAAATCCAAACGATGGATTGGTATAAAAACAGCAGGTTCTTGTGTAGATCTTTCTAATAGAAACTTCTGCAGCCAATTCAACCATTTTTCAGAAGGAAACAGGAGAAGCAGGAGGGAAAGCTGTTACAGGCATGTATTTCAAGAGGAGGGCCATCACCCCTCCAGCCTTCCTCTCTCCCCTCTGTTGCAAAGGAAATAAACTCCACAAATGAGGCCATGTGAGAGCAATATAAAAATACAGCAATAAGGCTGGGCGTGGTGGCTCACGCCTGTAATCCCAGCACTTTGGGAAGCCAAGGCGGGTGGTGCACCTGAGGTCAGGAGTTCGAGACCAGCCTGGCCAATATGGTGAAACCCCGTCTCTACTAAAAATACAAAAACTAGCTGGGCATGGTGATGCATGTCTGTAATCCCAGCTACTCGGGAGGCTGAGACAGGAGAATCACTTGAACCCGGGAGGCGAAGGTTGCAGTGAGCCGAGATCATGCCACTGCACTCCAGGCTGGGCGACAGAACAAGACTCCGTCTCAAAAAAACAAACAAACAAACAAACAAACAAACAGCAACAAAAAAAATACAGCAGTAAGATCCAATAAAAATATTCTAAGATTCAAAGAGAATCAGGTAAAAATCCATGTGAAGCACATTAGAAATAAGGAATTAACTTCCACTTAACAGGATCTGTTGAGGATTTTTTTAAAAACTCAAACATTAGAGAAGCAGCATGAAGCAAATATCACATTCCTTGCACTCAAGATGTTGAGAGAAAGGGTGAGGATTGAGTTTATGTTAGGGTGAGGATTGAGTTTATGTTGCAAAGAACTAAAATGGAGAAAATATCTAGACGCTCAGTTCAGCATCCAGACTTTGTTGATATCTACAAAGGATAAGATATTGTTTGAGACAAGAAATCACTCTGTCGCCCAGGCTGGAATGCAGTGGTGTGATCATGACTCACTACAGCCTCGACCTCCTGGCCACAAGTGATCCTCCCACCTCAGCCTCCTGTAGCTGGGACTACAGGTGCACACCACCAAACCCAGATAATTTTTTCATTTTTTGTAGGAACGGGATCTCGCTACATTGCCGAGGCTTGTCTCAAACTCCTGACCTCAAGTGATCTTCCCACCTGATCTCCCATAGCACTGGGATTACAGGAGTGAGCCACCATGCCCGGCCCATAGACGATAATTTTTTAACAAAAGCAGAAAACAACCAACATTATGAATGGATTTGTTTTAATGGCTCCTCGGCAAATACGAATATGTGATGTGACCTGCTGGGTGCTGGGAAAGAAAGTGAGGGGCTAAAATGGAAGAAAGATTAGAAATAGAAGACCAGTGAGGAATAAGGGCAATTCTGAGGAACTTGCTCTCAAAGTAAAACCTTATAATAGTAGTAAGTCCCTCTGATGGAACTGGCCCTGAAGTCAGAGGTAAGAAAGAACACAATTTCTTCTACATATGGGGACACAGGAAAAAAGGATTGTTTTCAACCTAGAAGATGATTCTGCTTCTATTCAGGTAATTGGCATGTTGGTCTGGATCTAAAGGTAAAGAATCAACAAAGAAAAATGGGTAATGAAGGATTCGTAAATCAGATGGGGAATCAGGAGGTAATATGTTGAATGGAAGGAAGACTGGGAAAAGGGAAAGTGTAGGAAAGGGATTGAAGCAGAATAAAAATGAACTCCAGGGGAGGAGGTCAGTTAACCACCACCAGAGTACCCTTAGTTCAGAGGTTAAGCTTGTACCCCTTCTTCTCACTGGGGGGTACCCCACAAGGACAACACTGTCTCCCCAAGCCTGGATATGGCCTGACTGTCCTCCTTGGCATCATCCTCCAAGGGCCACGGCCAATCCATCACCCATCCACCAGGGGGAGCACTCATGAACAACTGGCATCTCCCCTAGAAGGAACAGACCTCCAGAATTTGGTCGGGCACCCTCATACCTGTCCATCTCATCAACGTCATAGACAAACAGAAGTAGGTACAAAAGAATAAAGCCAACAGAGTCTAACGCTGCACATGCCATTGCTCTGTCACCACGTGGTTGCTGTAAATCCCTCTAAGAATTCTGCTGGAATGTCCACTTGTAAAATCACAGAGGGGTCAAACTGGCATTCCAGACCCAGAGAAGCCACAGAATTGGTAAAAATGAAGCCAAAGTAGGTTCTTTTTTTCTCCTCGAGACAAATGCAGTAAGATCATCTCTTATTTCATGCCAAAGTAAAAATGGTCACAGCGATAGAAAAGGACTAATATCTAGAAAATAGCTAAATAACAACCTCAAATGCATAAGACACAAAGCATCTAAGAAACTAAAATTAATTAAGACATTTATATAAAGAGCATTTATTTCCTCTTTACCTACATACCAGCTTGATTATCTCATTTAGAAATAAATGCAGAGGAGGAAGAATCTGCTCAATACAAACAGGATGAAAGAAAGGATATTTCAAACCCCTCAAGTCAGATAGCAGCCCAGGGTGTTTATCACTGGAGAAAACTATTGCATATTTCTCAGTATGAAATGGGTGAATGGATGCATTACGTAATTATATTGTGCTGAGTCGGTAGAAACTTCGTATCTAGCAGACGTATTTGAAAACAGAACAGGCTGGGCAGGGTGGCTCACACCTGTAATCCCAGCACTTTGGGAGGTCAAGGCAGAAGGATCACCTGAGGTCAGGAGTTCGAGACTAGCCAGGCCCACGTGGCGAAACTCCATCTCTACTAAAAAATATAAAAATTAGCTGGGCATGGTGACAGATGCCTGTAATCCCAGCTACTAGGGAGGCTGAAGCAGGAGAATCACTTGAACCCAGCAGGCAGAGGTTGCAATGAGCTGAAACTGTGCCATTGCCCTCCAGCTTGGGCAACAAGAGGGCAACTCCACCTCGGAAAAAAAAAAAAAAAAAAAAGGAAAGGGCTCCACAACCCCACATGACCTTGCGTTCTCAGGGGTGGACTCTGCATGGCAAAAACACAAGCTCTGTTCACATTATTTAGCAAGTGAGAGAGGCTGACTCCTCACATGGAACACCACATCATATCACTCCTTTACAAACTCTCATTTTAGAAAAGTAACCAACAAAAGCTGTATGTTTTAGAGGTTTGGGAATTGTGTGGGATTTTTTTCAGGGGGAGCAGGGGAAGACTTTATGGGTGGTCATTATAAAAGTATAGTCAATATAGACAGTTTCCTATTAAAATTACAGGCAGATTTTCTCTCCCGATTATTCAAGTGCATTAGCAAATGTAAAAAAAATCTGAACTTGGATCAGATAAGAGCAATCAGAGTACGGAATGCATCTGCTCTTTGCCAAAGCCGTATTTCATTACTTTTCAGAATTAGCTGGCAATGTCTCCACAATATTTACTGAAGTGCAAACCAAATGTTTTCATCTGGACAAAAATCAAACTGTGGTATGTTACAACAACAACAGAGATCATTTTAATCCAAAAGCTTGCTTTCTCTAATTTAGGCTGTGGTTTCTATAAAATTGGATTCTTCTCTATGAATCATGTACACAGACAAGCCCTCCTGCCCATTATCTTCCCTCCCTCGATCAGTTCTTGATCTTAAGCAGCGAAACATCGCTTGGCTGTATTTTGGAAAGACCCTAGAGGGATTCCCTGTGCACTGTCATTTAGCTGCAGAGTCAAATTCTATTGCTTGACCCAATTACCATGGGGCTGGCCCACTGAGTTTGTGTTTCATCTTCGGGATACATAAACAGAATGAAAAGTAATCAACCCCGACTATCAAATTAAGAAACAAAACTTCAAAGTGAGCTGGCAGGGACTTGGGCAACGGATAGAAGATGAAAGAAGTCACAGAAGAAAGCAGTTGCACCCAAATACCCTAGTGCATCAATCTACGTATGTATGTATCAGCACTGTTCAAAGCACCAGAGACTCAAACAGGGCAGCTGTCTACATTCATCTCACATGTTCATGCATGCACAACATGTAAACACAAACTTCCCTAAAAGACTTTGGGACAAATATAACATGTCCAGTGCCAATCTCTGCCCATTCCTGGTCTGACTTTACAACTTATTAGGGAAGAAATTAAAACAGAATTTCCCAATTCGCATTCATTTGCCTACCATCCTAAAAGTATTTGCCAGATCCAGATGCTCCATGTGCTATTATTATCTGTAAGGTGACTTGCATTCATGTCTTAAATAATTTATCTCCATTGTATCAAGACAAAATTACTATCAATTGCCCTAAAGGAAAGGTAATGGTTAAAATTAAAATGAATGTAAAACGTTCACTTAATGTCCTTTCTGGTATGAAGAGGGATTTGTGTAGCAGAGATAGGGAAGCAGCCCTCAATAGCATGAGCAAAACACAAAGGGAATCCCTATTCCTTACTGAATACGGAGGTGCCTATCCAATCATGCTCATCTTGGGAATGTACTTCTTTTTAAATAGGTATTTCCAAAAAAAAAAAAAGATACCATCACTGAAGGGACTCTACATGGGATCCAAGACTCCAGGATGAGGCCATGGCTCTGGGAGATGCTTACTTGCCATGAGACTCGAGGTTACTCAACTGTATACAGAGCATAATGTCTTCAGTCGAAACATTTTTATGGCTCCAAACATAGGCAAAAGCAAGCTGAGTGACTCACAGTAAGGTGATATTATTATGCTCATAGGTATAAAATCATACTGTCATTCTTTCCATAGGTGACAGCATATCTTCTTTCCCAAATAGGAAAGTAACTAGATTGGTTGGTGACCAGAATCTGGGAGACAGGGGATGAAAATGCAAAATGAACTCAATGGTTAGAATAAGCTGAACCTTTGGTCTTTGTTAAGGAACAAGGAGGGATGACGCAATGACCTCCTAGATGCATGGCCAGTCTTTCCTTCAGCAACCCTCCCTCCTCCTCCTGGATTACAGCTCTCAAGAACTAGTGCAAACAAGCACCCAGGTGTGCCTATCTAATCCCACAAATAGGAAATTCCCGACATTAGGGTAGTATTCTATCTGCAAGTGCAATTAACATGTGGGACTTCACAAGGAGAATACAATGGTTATCATACCACCTTCCCTCCCAATCTCCTATTCCCACGCTAATCTAGCATCTTTGTCATTGAAAACTGTAACGTTCCCCTTACAACCCTTCCTATATTGTTGTCTGCACTGGCAATTTAAAACACATTCAAATACACACCCAGTCAAATGCCACAAGGTCTATCTATGGTTCGCTTCATCTCACTGAATATAGAAATCATACCACATAGCAGCAGCCATGATGGTGCTCAAGCCATCACGGTATTATCTCAAGTGGAGAAGAAGAAACCAGTAAGAAAGTGAACATTCTGGCTGGGTGCAGTGGCTCACGCCTGTAATCCCAGCACTTTGGGAGGCCAAGGTGGGCAGATACCCTGAGGTCAGGAGTTCAAGACCAGTCTGGTCAACATGGTGAAACCCCGTCTCTACTAAAAATACAAAAATTAGCTGGGTGTGGTGGGGCACGTCTGTATTCCCAACTACTCAGGATGCTGAGACAGGAGAATACCTTGAACATGGGAGGCGGAGGTTGCAGTGAGCCGAGATCACGCCACTGCACTCCAGCCTGGGTGACACAGGGTGGGAGACTTCGTCTCAAAAAACAAAACAACAACAACAACAACAACAACAACAAAATGAGCATTCTAACAGCCACTACAGACAACAGTCTTTGTGCGAATCATGTGAGGCCTTCCTCAGTTCCCAATGGAGAAGCTGAATACTCAACTTCCCTGCGGGACACAGACACCAGGGACTTTAGTGCTATAAATGAAACCCCTTCAGTCAGCAAGGTGCTTGGCCAACAAAACAGCACTGCCATACTTAAAGTCTTATTTCCATGTTCTCTAAGTGGATTTCAGAAAGACTCAAGGACTCTCTAGAAAGTAAGGAGAAGGCCAGAGATGACTCTGAGAAGTACTACTGAATCTGTGCCAGTACTCACTGGCAGCAAAAAGGAAGCCTGCCTTATCTTCAGGGAGGGCACAACATGGTCAGAGGCCAGCTGGCCTGTAGCAGGGAGAATCCTCACAGCAAAATGACCTACAGTCTTATTAATAACATCTGATCAACGTCACAGGGCCAATAAAAGTGATCCATCCTTCCCCTCCTCAGACCTCAAAAATTTCAGGGTTTCAGATTTCTTCATTATTAACTGATAAACTATCCCAACAAATGAAACAGGTAACTGACTCTAGGAGAAAACCAAGCATATGCAGAACGTTAAGGCCACTGAAAGCCCCTAGGCAGTGATGACACCGTTCTCAAACATACACTTTCACTACTGCTGCTCTCAAAAACTAAGATGCAACAACTCCCAGAGACCCTCAAAAAAAGTTGTGTACCACTGGAGACAGTGTGATTTCCTCCCCAAAGAGTTTACATAATGTAAAGTATTCCCATTTTGCTCAAGGAAGCTCATTATTAGCACCATAGTGTTCCTTGCAATTGGGGGATTACTTAATTGCTTTCTGGCAGGTTAATCCCCTTTCATTCTGTGACCTCTAAATCACCCCAGGCTTTTGCATTTGCCCTACTTAGAAATCCTAGTCCTCAATACTCAAGGCTAGGACCACATCAAAATATGTGTTCCTTGCCAATGAGGCCAGCAACGCTCTTTAGAAAAAACACCACAGGTTGGCTGTCTCTTCTATTACCTGTGGCCGATTCAGCTGGTCTTTTAGACAGTTCCACCTAAATCCAAAATCTAATAATCTTCCTCTCCACTACCTCTGCCTCAATTCACTGGAAAAAATGGTAAATAAATGTACAGTTGGACCTCTGTATCAGACACTTCTGCACCCATGGAATCAACCAACTGTCGATCAAAAACATTCAGGTAAAAAAAGGGACGGTTGCATCTCTACTGAACACATACAGACTCTTTTTTTCCTTGTAATTATTCTCTAAACAATATTATCTAACAAATTTACACAGCATTTACATTGTATTAGGTATTATAAGTAATCAAGAGATGATTTAAAGTATACAGGAGGATGTGCATACATGCAAATACCATGTGCCATGTTACATAATGGACTTGAGTATCCATGAATTTTGGTATCAAAAGGAGGTCCATAAATCAGTCCTCTGAGTTATCAAAGGATGCCTATATGTGGATGATCGCCTCAGGTATCAATTCTGGGCTATTTCATACCCATTAGCTCTGCAACAACTATGTGCTATAGACTCTAGAATATCCATTTCGCAGATGAGGAAGCTCAGGCTGAGAAATATTTAAATCATCTGCCCAAGACATGCCAGCCTTCTGCCAATGCCCCTAGAAAGAACTCCCTGCAGCCTCAATCGATTTTCTGCAGAGCTGCCAGTAACATCTTCCTAACCTCATAGGTGTATTATGATGTCACCCCTGACTTGAAGAACGCCAAGGGATACTCCAGTAACTAGCCCAGGGCATGCAGAATCTGAGGCTTATCCTAACTTTCTTGCTTTAACTCCAGGACCTCCAACATCAATCCATGCCTTGGCAGTTGCTTCTGCAGAACCCCTTCCCAGCACTATCCTCTTTCTGCAAAGATTCCTAATGCACTGTAACGCGGAGACCCGCAGCAAATGTCAGCATTCCTTTGCAGCCATCCCAGGGCCTCTCCCTTCCTGCTTTAATGGGTACACACTTCTATCCCAGCATTTTCACGCATTTATTGTTATATCCTCAATTTCACCCACCACCAATACTGCTTTCCTGTGTCTAATCTGTTTTCTAGGTGTCTAGCATACAAAAAGAGTTTAATAAAGGTTTGCTGAATTAATTAGCAACTGAATGACAGCTGATCACTAAAGATTCTGTAAGACAGAAGAAACAAAAGGCAGGCAGTTCCAAAACAAGACAGCATTGCTTCACAACGGCTGACAGTAAGGATATTTACGAGGAACTCCCCATAATAACACTCTCTTCACTGTGCCGAGCCGTGACGCTGAACTGTGATGCCCACGGTCATAGGAATGAACTGTGTATGTAGGTTTGCATGCTTCAGGAGTCCCCTTTGGGAATCCCCTTGTTTGCAGTGCCCCGTAAAGAGGAAAATGTAAATAAGAGAATCATTTAACCTGCCAGTGCTCTGCTACATTAAGCTCTTTTTAATCTGTTAATAATCATAGTCAGAACAAAGAGGAGACGACAGAACTCATTAAGAATAACCAGAGTGGTGACAGGGAATACGGCGATGGTACGAATCACTGCATGCAGCAAGCGCAAAACCCTCTTCCCCGCGTGTGCCAGTGAAAGATACTAATTATGCCTCTGGCAAGAGACATGTGGACCCCTTCAAAGCAGCTATTTAAAGATAAATACACTGCGGGCAAATACCTCGGGCCGGCTGCACTATTCATCCCATCCTCCTTTCCTGTAGAAATTTTAGGTCACAATATTAAATAGGAAATGAAAGAGCCTTGCAGACTTAGCTGGTAGTGTCTTAAAACAAATTTGTTTTAGATTTCTAAAGCTTTTAACCTCAGAATGACTAGCTGGGTGTTTACATATCTATACTAATCCCAGTATTAATAGTATAGGGTTTTTCCTCCCCATCTCAAAGATTTCTCACTGTCATTAACAGATAACAAACAAGGTTTAAAGAACTCCACTCGCTGTCTTTCCCTTGGCCTCACGATTTATTCTCTTCCAAATCCCAAAGAAGTGCCGAGAATATTAAAGGTAATAATTGAGGACTGGAGAAGGGAAAAAAAAAAAAAAAAAAGACCTGGATCCTTAGCAACAAACATCACTTCCAGGTGTTTGATTTGCTTCCTTCATTATTTCTGCAGCCAGACTTTCTTCCCTATAAATAATGAGCATATTAAAGACTGCCTTCTTTACCCCTCACAGTGCTCGCTGTCACCCAAGGGTGATGGGCTGACTGAGCTCTTTATGGTGAACACTAGAGGCTTGGGGATGTGACAAGCTATGTTTGCTTTGGAATCAGCACGAAAAAAGAACAGAATTAGGATGCAGGTGTAAGAAGGTTAATCGCATTCCCAACTGTCAACTTTGCCTGAAAGGGCTTCAACAAGGTGAAGATTTAACTAAGGATATGCGTCATTAGCAGTGGATATCAAAAAGGTGGAAATCTCTCTAAATGTGCATCAGGAATTAGATAAATTATGAGACATTCACCAAATGGAACATAAGCTATTAAAATGAAATGACAGGCATTTTTGTGACAGTGTTAAGTAGGAAAATCAGACTGCAAAAACGAAAGTATAATGCAATATCATTTCAGGAAAAATATGTATTATACATGCACACAGAATGCTCAGTAAAATAGTCACAAACAAGGTAATTAACAGCGGTCGTCTCTGGGAGATGGTGGAGATGCTATTTTGAATGCATTCTTTTGCCTACTTCTTTACCTTTCTTCTGCCAATATTCCCAAGATGAACAGGAACTACTTTTATGATTGTAAAAAAAAAAAAAAAAAAAAGCTTAACATCCTGTTTTTCTTAAATTAAAATGGAAATAAAATTATTAAAGTACCACAACAACAGGGATCACTATGTAACCTTTGTACACACTGAAATACAGGTTTTAATTAGCTCAAGAAACTACCTATCTTGATGCTATCTAGATATCCTAGATAGAAAAGATGCTATCTAAGGCCACCAAATCCATCAGATTTTCAGGGTCATGAAGCTATAATAAGCATCATCTGTCATTTGGGGTTTGTAGAGTCAGATCAGGTAAACACACTTATCCTCCCGGGAAAAAAAAATGGTATTTTAAAGCTAGGATGACTCATTTTTAATACCTCAGATCTAAAAAAAGTATAAAAGAAATAGCAAAACAGTACAATATTGTATACGAACAGAAAAACAAATAACAAAGCCTATTTTTATTGCCTAGCTCATATATGAAATTCATTTCCAAAGGTTCAGAGCATTTTTTTAAATTTGTTTTAAACATCTCCTAGGCTTTAATTATTTAAGCCTTTTTTGTATTTGACATCTAAAAGAAGTAAATTTTATCTATGAAAAGATGATTCTCTTCTGTCTGGAATCCTGAAACTTCAAAGCCAGGTACTTACTTGGTAATGTTTTCTCTAGATGGCATTTATTTGAACAATAAATAAGCATGCCTCCGCAACTAAAAGACTCTCCAGGTTTCCCAGAACCTCAGAAAATATAATGTTATAAGATAGTGCACGCACAAGTACATGTAGCACAAACACACATATTCCTCTCTACACAGAATCACTGAGACATTCCCTGATGGGTTTCTCTCCTTCTCTACCTTTGAGAACTAAACACAACAGTCACAATTGCGCCATAGTAAAGACCTGCATAACTAAATTCCATAATCAACAGAGCAATCTTCAGACATCCTAATGAAACGGGATTGGTGGACTGGTGGAGGCAGAAACTATTATTTCATTATTTACTAAGCAAAATGCCGACAGCAATTTTAGACATCAAAATTCCTTTCCCAAAAGTAGCCAAACTAGTTAAGTCATAGTTACTCTTTAAAGAACCTGGCTTCGCCGGGCATGGTGACTCATGCCTGTAATCCCAGCACTTTGGGAGGCCGAGGCAGGCAGATCACCTGAGGTCAGGAGTTCGAGATCAGCCTAACATGGTGAAACCCCGTCTCTACTAAAAATACAAAAATTAGCCAGGCGTAGTGGTGGGCGCCTGTAATCCCAGCTACTCGGGAGGCTGAGGCAGGAGAATCACTTGAACTCAGGATGCAGAGGTTGCAGTGAGCCAAGATCGCGCTGTTGCACTCCAGCCTGGGCGACAGAGTGAGACTCTGTCTCAAAAAACACACCTGGCTCCAATTACGTTTAAAAGCCATGCATATTTAGAAAAGGATACCAAATTATGGTTAGATAGGAGGAATAAGTTCTAGTGTTATATCCCACTGTAGGATGCCTACAGTTAGCAACACCCAGAAGGAGGATGTTGAATGTTCCCAACACTAAGAAATTATAAATGTTTGAGATGAGATATGCTGATTACCCTCATCTGATCACTTACATGTATCACAAAATCATCATGTGACCCATAAATATGTACAATTATTATTTGTCATTTAAAAAAAAAAATTTTAAGCCACGCAAGACCAAAGTCACAAATTAAGAGTCCCATATCACCATTGTTTTTTTTTTTTTTTTGAGACAAAGTGCCACTTAATTGCCAAGGCAGCAGTGCTGAGGCACAATCATGTCTCACTGCAGCCTCAAACTCCAGGTGTCAAGGATTCCACCGTGTCAGCCTCCACAGAGATGGACTATAGACGGCACAACCAAGCGCGGCTAGATATACCTGAATCACATTGCTGCTGATCCTTCAAAGATTCCTTTAGGGCAAATACATCCTTCTGAGTACACATCCCACTCGTTCTCCATTCCTGATCATCACACCACACTCTACCAGCCTCACAGTCTAGTGGCCATGTTCTTCTCTCTATATACAGCCAATCCAGCACAAGATTCTGTCATATTTAGTTCTCACAGCTTCCTTTCCATCTTCATACTCAACATGCAAGATCAGGAGAATCTTTCAGCCAAAATCTATGTAAAAACTAAGGCATGTTGGCTCATGCCTGTCATCCCAGCACTTTGGGAGGCCAAGATGGCATGAGAATTGCATGAGCCCAGGACTTCAAGACCAGCCTGGGGAACACAGCAAGACTCCTTCTCTACCAAAAAAAAAAAAAAAAATTGCTGGGTGTGGTTGCCTGCGCCTGTAGGTCTAGCTATTGGAGAGGTTGAGGCAGAAGGATGGCTTGAGCCCAGGAGGTCGAGGCTGCTTAGAGCCATGACTGTGCCACTGCACTCCAGAAGTGGACAACTTCTTATTTTGATATGAGACAAGACCCTGTCTCCAAAAACAAACAAAAAAGCTAATGGAGATAAACTGGTGGGAACCCCACCTACCTCGTATCTCCCTGTTTTCAAGGCTCAACAACCGACAAGGGCTACAAAATTTCTAACAAATACATTAATAACTCTCCTTTCTTATGTGTTAAGAATCACCAAGAACTATCCTATAATGTCAAAATTTCCCCCCCAACAATTCAGTCCCAAAGCCAATTAGTAAGGCAGGGCAATTGGGCAAGGAGAGGGGGTGAGGAGCAACCATATGGGGTGTCAGGGCTGAGTTTCCCATCGTGGGGGCAGCAGAGAAGCAGAGATGGGAGGTGGATTACACTGAAAAGACAGAGCAAGTAAGTATATTAAGGATTACAGGAGCCAAGTTCCTCAGGGATGAATGCACATGAACCTCCCTTAGTGTTAAATTGAAATTGGAGGTATGGCTGCTAACTCACGGATTTTAATATACACAGAACTTCGGATAGACCCTTATAAACATGCAACCTCAGTCTACTAAGAGCACCTGGGAGAAATGACATTCCCATAGTTCCCAGCATCCCTAGTGCCCAGATCTTGGCTCCTCAACAGCACTTATCCCTATAAGAAAGCAGTGCTCCTTGAAGACATGGCCAATTCCAGGACTGAGGGCGGGAAAGTACACCATGAGCCTGGAACATTTTGTTGTGCCAGAAGCAAGGCTGGAAGGATGACAGGGACATGTCAAATGGAATAAAAAGCCAGCCTGATGAGGATCCACGGATGAGGCGGTGATCTGGGACAATCTGAACATCAGAATACATAATAGGAGTAACAGATTATAACCCTTTGAATAAAATAGGAAGCCCATACGCATACAATTATGATAAAGATGATGAGAAGTATGTACTAGTTTCAAAGAATATCCTCTCTTAACACTTATACACTGCAAAGGCTGAGACGGGCAACTTTACTCCTAACAGGCCCACCACAGTCGAATGATCAGCATGAACACGAGTGTGGAAAGGGAAGGACTGAACTGTGTATCCCCACAGAGGACCCAACAACAAGGAGGAGGAATCACTTCCCTTGTGGCATTCCTGCCAAGAACACAAACCAGAATGTAATCATGAGGAAACACCAGGCACCCAAATTAAGGGACATTCTAAAAAATAATTGACCTGTAATTTTCAAGTGTTGAGGTCAAAGACAAACAATGAGGAACTCTTCCAGATTAAGCAGACTACAGACAATTAATGGCATCGCCTAATTCTGAACTGGGTCCTTTTGCTCTAAACTTGGACATTACAAAGCACCTTCAGAACAAATGTGAAACAGAGGTTTGAGGACTGCATGGGGGCCACGTATCACTGTGAACTTCTTAACTTTGACAGTTATAGGAAAATGTACTTATTTGAAGGAAAGACACACTAATGTATTGAGTGAGGGATGATGGGTGGAAACTTTTTAAGGTTAACTTAAAATCTGTCTGTAATAATAAATTATCAAAATATTTATCAAATAAAAGTGACTATGAACCTCAAGGTTTTCCCACAGATGTCCAATAGCAAAGGCCCTCTCCTTCTGCTCATTTTCTCTCAAATAACCTCACCCAAGGAACTCTCTGCATTCAGGACTTCCTAAATTTTCTATCATTCCTCCAGAAATGACTCCTTATTCTCTCAATCTTCTGTGTTCTTTCCTCACAGCTATTAGAAAACTTAGTAATAAGGAAACTGCAACAAACACTTTCACAAATAACTCTATTCAGCAGATCCCAAATCCACCTGGCCTCCGTTAACTGGTCCGAGTTGAAACATGGACCAGTATTTGCACTGTCAATTAGACTCTGAAAGTACCAGTACTGTTTTCCTTAACGTAATATAGGGCTGAGAGAACCGTAAGTCCCTCATCACCATGGCTTATTGACAGGCCTTAGGAAGCACAAAGAAAGGGGCCTTCACAGCCCCAAAGTCCTGCATCAAAAAAAAACTGCCTTACAAAACAAGTCAGCAATGTGTGTGTGTCAAGGTGGTGGTATGGTGCAGAGAAATCAAATTAGAAGTCAAAGTTAGAAACTGCATAATTGTGCATTGAGAAGCCAGGAAGTAGGGTGTTAAGAGTCATATTAAAAAGGAAATAAAACTTAACTGATGGTTCAAAAGCCACACCCAGCACACACTCTCTCGGTGGGATTTCTCACTTTCAATTCCCCCTCAACCCAGGTTGGGGACAGAAAAATGAACATGGCAGAGAGTAAAGCTAAGGTTACTCCACGTAGACCTCAGGCTTACATGTAGATTCCACGTAGACCTCCGCCGATGGTTGCAAAGTCTTACCTCGAAGGCAGAGAAAGGTAAGAAAATCTTCTGTCTTAGGCTTCCTTTTAGAGAGGTCTGATATCTGAGTAGCTGGAGGGGGTAGCAATGGCTCCACTATCTTTACTGGAGTTGTGCTGGGACTATTCGGCTGAGACTGAGCAAACTTCCTTTGTGCTTGCAGCCTGGGCCTGCAAAAGCAAAAGAAAATTAAAAATAAATTAAGCAGAGACTGGAGGATATAGGCCTACGTGCGGCAATAAAATCATGACACATAAGGGGAAAAAAGATCCTATTTCAAGCAAACTCTTCCTAATTAAGGTTCTATATCTCTCACACTCTCATAAACCACAGGCCTACTTTCAAGCGCAATAAATTTGGTTAAAGGACTATGTTTTGTACATGGATATAAAATGTGTGTCATGGACATGTGTATACATGTGTGTAGAAATACATGCCTATGTACACACTATGTTTGCCTGAGTATTTAAAAACTACACACGGTATCTGACATCATCAGCTTAATGGTGTTCATTTATTTCCACTGACAGTAAAGAAGAAAACACTACATTATCCTGCTGTATTTATATACATCCTATACGTCCATCTAACGGGGTCACAAATCCATACCCACATCTCTTCTGTGTCATTACATCCAGGTCACCTTTGCCTATTTAGCCATCAGTGTCCCTGTCGCCACTTCTAAATTCGGCCACGAAAAGTTCACTACAACAATTCAAGTTTGTACTACAGAAAAAAAGGTATGTCTCTAGTCTATCTACGCCCCCTCCAATCCCAAATTCTGGGTTACCCTCTGCCAACAAGGTCAAATTGCAACTATTTGGTAGACATTAAAACAGAAAATAGCCCTAATCTACTCTTCAGGCTTCTTTCCCATTACAATCCTATGCTAACTCCCTAACTTACCATTTGTTAACTACAGAGTACATTTCAATTCCTTTCACCTGAATATCTTACGTAGAAATTCCTTTCTATCAAAACAAATCCTAATAGATCTTGGAACAGTGTTTTGTTTGTTTCTTTGTTTGTTTGTTTGAGATGGAGTCTTGCTGTGTTGCCACCTCAGCTCACTGCAACCTCCACCTCCCAGGTTCAAGCGATTCTCCTACCTCAGCCTCCTGAGTAGCTGGGATTACAGGCGTGCACCACCACGCCCAGCTAATTTTGGTATTTTTTGTAGAGGTGAGGTTTCACTATGTTGGCCAGGCTAGTCTTGAACTCCTGACCTCAGGTGATCCACCCGCCTTAGCCTCCCCAGTCTTGACCTTCCAAAGTGTTGGGATTACAGGCGTGAGCCACCACACCCAGCCCAGTTTGTTCTTTTTTAACACAGTAGCCAATAAGAAATTTCCCTTTCTCTCCACCAATAAATACACGAACATATTTTTGCTTTACATACAATCAACTTGATATGTATCGTCAATTGCCTAATAGTCCCTCCTCCTCTAATCGTAAAGGTCTCCACTCACGCAATAGTGAGCACTTGCAAGGATGAGAAACTGGGCCCTACTTTAAACTGTTCACCTAGACCTGCTCAGAGAGGTATTTGAAAAACATTCTTTGAGGGCAGGAAAACAACAACAAAAAGAACCAAGAAACAGCCACACAGTACAGGGATTGAAATAGACCTCATCAGAATCCCAAACACTACGTAGGATGGATAATGCAATGCCACTCAAGACAATTAACTAATAAAACTAAATAAGTGCCGGGCGCAGTGGTTCATCCCTGTAATCCTAGCACTTTGGGAGGCCGATGTGGGTGGATCATCTGAGGTCAGGAGTTCCAGACCAGCCTGGCCAAGGTGGTGAAACCCCGTCTCTACTAAAAATACAAAAATTAGCCTGGTGTGGTGACACGTGCCTGTAATCCCAGCTACTCAGGAGGCTGAGGCAGGAGAATCGCTGGAACCCGGGAGGTGAAGATTGCAGTGAGCCAAGATCACGCCACTGCACTCCAGCCTGGGCAACAAGAGCGAAACTCCGTCTCAAAAATAATAACGAATAAAAAAAACTAAGTAAGTAAAAGAGAGCAGATGTATTCCCTTAAAGACATGGTTGGGAGTGGATTATATAAAATAGTAAGCATTTATCTTAAACTGTTGATGCTCAAAATGCTGTAACATTTAAAAAAAAATTATACTATTTAACAAATTCCTACAAGAAAATACACAATGATTGCCTACTTCATCAAAACTAATACCTTTAAATTTAACCTCATAAATCCTCCACACTCCCGAAATATAAAGTACTACAATGTTATGAGGAATTTCCAATCTCATTTTAACCTTAAATTCCCTTGTATGTCCTAAGCAGTGTCTACTCTTGTCTCCCCTATGACCATCGAAAACACCACCGTCTAATAATATTCCTGATACAAACTGACAATCCACCAAAACGGACAAAGTGTGACTCCAACTACTTAGTGGGTAATCTATAGTCCTTAAAAAAAATCTACAAACAATGTAGGTCATTCAGAGCACTTTTTTTTTTTATTTTTAACCTTTTTACTGAAACTGGGTCTCACTGCACCCAGGCTGGAGTGCAGTGACGCTATCATAGCTCACTACAGCCTCAAATTCCTGGGCTCAGGAGATCTTCCCACCTCAGCCTTGCTAAATGCTGGGACTACTGGTATGTGCCACCACACCCAGCTGTTTTTGGCTTGTTGCTGTTGCTGGGTTTTTTTTTTTGATAAAGACAGGGTCTCCCCATGTTGCCCAGGCTGGTCTTGAACTCCTGGCCTCAAGCCTATCTCCTGCCTTGGCCTCCCAAAGTGTTGGGATTACATGCATGAGCCATGATGCCTGTCCCAAAAAGCACTTTAGAACCCAGGAATAACTGATATGAAACAGTCACATTAACAAGGCAACAGCAGGAAGTGAATCAAGTTTAACAGAAATTCCCTAGTGTTATTTTTTAAAAAATAAGGGGGAGGGTGGGATCAGGCAATGCCACTATCTCTATGTCATGGGGAACAAAGAGAGCTTTTTTGCAACCAACTGCCTGCCTCTATATAAGTCATGACAGACCAGAAGCCCAGAGGCAGGATCTTCACATGGGACAATGAAGTGGGGGGCAGTTAGGGTGACGGGGATATTCCGACAATCACAGAGCTTCATCTATCACAGATGAGGAGCAGTTTTCTGCTTGGTTGTTTTTCCCCTTTTAAATTTTCCATCTGTTACAAATGTCTTTTTTTTTTTAATTACATAAAAAAATAGAACAAGGGGGCAAAAAGCAATTTAAAAAGACAAAACACAAGCCTAATTTATTGGGACTCAACAGACACAAAATCATTCCATCAAACTGCAGAGGTTTCTCAAGGCTGGCTCTCAATTTCTGTATCAATTCACAGGCACCTGGTGATGGCCAGGTCTCGAGCACACAGTGTCAGAGGAGGGAAGGCTACAGAACCCTTGGTCCACATTCCAACCAGCTGCCAGGTAGACTGACCCAACACAACTGCCCTGCTTTTCCCATGAGGCTTTCCTTCCCACCAACCTCCCAGACTGTTTTAAAACAAAGGAAATGTTGTGCCATATTTAGAAAAATTGCTGGTTTTTAATTCTACTGAAAAGTATTTTTAATTGGCAATTACATAATATATACATCTTCATTTGAATGGACGCAAATCGCACTCTGAGTATTGCAGGAATTTTATAGAAATATTGCCTGCATGTTAACAGGATGTTAAGGGTTTACAGCTTTTTTAGAAGTCAGGGAAAACAAACCCTATACACGATGAGAAGATTGTGCAGCGACAATGAGAAACAAACAAGTAAACACAGACGAAGCACAGACAACGGAGCGAGACACTGTGAGATATTTTACAATTTCAGGACCTCAAAGATAAACTGCTCCTACCAATGCTCAAATAAAAGGTGCTTGGTGCCTAATGACTTTCCCAGTGAGGCTATGAAAAATAAGGCAATAACACATTAAAAAGTGGCAGTAAAATAAATTACCCCTTAGAGGAAGAAGCCAAGCTCCCAAGTGATTAAACATTTGTGAGACCCAGATGAAACCAGGAACTAAAGAACAAGACAAACCAATATCTTTTATAAAGAGGCCAGAAGAACCTGTATTGTCTAAAAAGGGTAGGTCTGCAGTGTGGCTTTTCAACCTGCAGAGTCCCGTGGGGATTAAGAGCCCCATACAACCAAAGAGCTTGAATGGCACAGCCAAATCCTGAGTAAGCCCTCTAAACAGTACAGACAGGCTTCAGGGACAGGAGTTTCCTTCTAGAATGCTGGATATAGGAAAATGGAAGAAAGTGATTTGGATGTGCTGAAAACTCACAATATTTGCACCTAGAGATGCTAATGGCAGGAGCAGCAGAAGCCTGGGGTAAAGGAGGAGGTCACCTGGCAAGCACGAGGAGAAAGGTGAGGCTGCACCCAGCCTGTGGGGCCTCAGCCCTCCAGGGGAGGCGGCATACCCGCCCACCACACCATTTATTTCCTCACTCCCTGCCATCAGCTGACTGGCATTTTCAACAGAATACTACCTGCCATTCCATTATTACAGCAAAAATGAAAAGAACTGGGATAAAAGAGGTTCAGAATCACTGTGGGGTTGGGGTGGAGAGAGCACGGGGTTCCTGGGGTTGAAGAGGTAAAAACATAAATGTTTGAGAGAAAAATAAAATACGTGCCCTCCCAAGCCTTGGGCCTTGCATGTAGTCAGGATGGGCCTTCCTGCCCTGGGTAACACAGCCCCAGAGAAGGTGTGTGTCCTTCACACGCACCACGGAAGTAGCAATCATGGTGTAATTTACTTTCATGTGTTTTTTTTATTAATTCTTCAAGGAGATCCCTTACAGAAGACACCTTCATTCCAGGAACTCCACATGTACCCTTTATGTCAATGAAACCAATTAAATCAAGCCCTCCAGCAAGCCAAGGTGAAAAGATCAAATCA
Source organism: Homo sapiens (assembly GCF_000001405.40). Lineage (NCBI taxonomy): Eukaryota > Metazoa > Chordata > Mammalia > Primates > Hominidae > Homo > Homo sapiens. The sequence goes on along the minus strand of NC_000006.12, from coordinate 15,447,253 downwards.
AGTAAATGTAAACCAGCAGAGGAAGAAGTATGTTGATATATTCAGAGGATAACATTTTATTTACAATATGGTACAACATAGGGTTGGCGCAGTGGGGGTGAGGGAATAGATGTTTCAGATCAGATCATCACTGGGGCGTGTATGTGAATTAAAAGACTACAAAGTTCAAATAAGTTCAGAAGAAGACGGATACGAGCTGCTGTTTGGGGAAATAAGAAAGGCTGGTCACTTTGTTATGTTCAAGGATCTTAATAAGATCCCCTTCACTGTACACATGAGTAACTAGGAGAAGGGTGAGACCCACCCTGGGTCACATAGCTTGGATGGCAAAACAAATAGGAGCAGCAGACGAACCTATGGGTCCCTATGTGAGAGCTGTCTCTGTCATGCCACGCCACCTCCACGTGGCAGGTTAGGCAAAGCCTTGTGAGCACAGCCTTCTGGTGTGCACTCCCTCACTAAAACCTGCCAGGCCAAGGAGCTCCATGGTCCCTCATTCATAACCAAAATCAGCCCCGCTGAGTGAACACCATTTAAGCTGTCTCAAAATAAAAGGTGTTAAAATGAATGACCATTTACGGATTTGATCCCATAGAGTATATGGGAGTGTATGGGAGTGTATGGGATCCCATAGAGTGTATTTTATGTGGCAACAAATGGCCTAAGACAAAGGTAGGGATTGCAGGAATGGTCCAAGGGGATCTTGCTTACTCCAAACAGCTCCTTCCATCTGGAATACTCTTTCTCTTGCCATGCCTGGCGGCTTCTCATCCTCTAGGCCAGATAAGAGAAGCAAACAATCCAGGCCTGTTACTCTGTAATAGAGGCCACTTCCCGCACAGAAGCCTCTGCACAGAAGTCACCTCCTCGGAGAGAGGTGACCATCCTAAAGCAGTACCTCATGCATAACCAGCCACCTAACCCCAAAGCCATTGCTCTGCCCTTCTGTTGGTATACACAAGACTCTCTACTGCAGTCTCCTCTTTCTGGTCCACTTCTATATACAGGCCTTACCAAGTCTAGAGGACAAGGCCTCCATAGATGCTGGAAAGGAGGAGGGGAGGAACACTATACTGCTATAGTTGCTGAGAATTATACAACCCATCACTCATGATTTAGGAATCACAGAATACAGTACACACATGGTATCTGAGCAGAGGGGCAGACTGAATGGCAACTCAGAGGAAAAGGGAGATTGGTGCATGTTTGTGAAACAGATCCAATAGCAACAGGAGAGGAGGAGCCTTGGTATTGTTGTGCTCCAGGTAAAGTTAGTAGCCATCCCAGCAGAAGTCTACCTGAAGGTAGACAGGAATTCAGTTTCGTTAAGAATAAAACTGTGTCTTGAATATAGAGGCTGATATTTGAAAACGAAAACAAAAAAATACCAACTAGGCACCAGCCTACATGGCCCTCCCTTAAGAATTTACCATGCCACTTGCCCATTCTCACCATCATCTCGCAGAAGCCAAATAAGGTCTGCCTCCGGCTGACAGTCACCCTGTGGCACAAGGCGCTTTTCTAACCCTTGGCATTTCATTGTATTCCACATGGCCTCACACAGCACAACTGTTCCCAGGCCACAGTCGCTGGGCCCAAGAGGCGGCTCCTGACACACCTCATGCAACAAGACCACCACATACATCAGAGAGTATTTGTACTTCCTGATCAAGCTGCATGAGCTCGAAGGGGGAAAGATCCCTATTGTCCTTTCCCCATCCATCCACTCCCTAAGCTACATGGAAGGTGACTTTCTTTTTCTGCTAAGCCTCCCACAGCCACCTCTCACTTGCTGTTAGGTATCACCGCTTAAAAATTTACCAAAATCAATCTTCATTGTTTGTTGTTAAAATAAAATATATAGCACCTTTATGAGAACGAAGGAGCACAGCAAGATACACACTAACATTATTTGGAAAGTTAACCAATAAATCACGAGACCATGCTTGTAAAGAAACCCCAGGGATGAACTAACAGTCCTATGCCAAATACTTTTTTCTTTTGTAATACCCTCCCTGTGCCCCTTCCTCCCCAAATGATTGATTTAGAAGCTTCCTGGGCATCCTGCCATTAGAAGCTTCACACAAGGGTGGCACTGTTTCTCCAGGTTTCCTCTGGGGTCATCAACAGTGTAGAGTTAACCAGCTTATTGCTATCTGTGCACTCAATCTCTAGGGTAGCCCTGACTGCGGCACAACAGCAATTTCCAGGTTAATTAAATCCTATTTCTGTCCAGGATTTCTGATAGCCTGCAAACCCAAGAAGGGCATGGCGTGACACACAAATCAGCTGGATCAAGCAGGAGCAAGGGGGACCAGGCGGCTTAAAGTGAATGCACAGCTGTTCCCTTGCTGAGGGAAGTACATGCCAAAACATCATTTTATTAACTCAATTTTCCAATATTAAAAACGTAAGCTGGTAAATCCAATTATTTAGATTACATCCCAATTCTAAACAAAGGGCAAGGAAAGGGTGGGAGGGAGGGTCTGTTCATTCAAAAAAAAAAAAAAAAAAAAAATCAGACAGTTCGTGTCTGGCAAATGCAAAATGACCGGCATGGCTGCGCTCTTTGTGCCGGTGTGGGAGCTGGCCCTGAAGCTTTGCCAACTTGCTGAAAGGCCTATTCAAAAAAAAAAAAAATTTCCTGTGTTTCCATCCCCAAAATAATTACCCACTCCATTCGCCCCCCAGACACACACACTACAAACCTGGCAGCCACTCAAAGAAACAAGAGTGTGCCCGTGTGTGTGCGCACTGGAGGTTGTGGGGGGTCGGGCAAGGGATACCCTCTACCCAGGGCAAGCTGCCCACCAAATTCAAATGCAAGTGCGGTTGCGAGCAAACCACACAGAATGGTTGTAAACATCCTGAACAGTAAAGAGAAAATAAACACATCCTCAAGTGAACCCAGAGGCTAGCAGAGACCAATTCATAGCAAACTCTGTAATGAGAGGCACTAGCATAGACCATATCCTTCTAAGCGCAAGGTCCACCCAGTTCCCACAGTTTTAAACGGTCAGGGTTTGATTTACCAGAATGGGAGGGCATCACACAATGACAAAACGGGAGGTCAGCTGGCTCTGTAAGCAGAGTTATCCTACGCAGAATGCCTGCTTTATGGTACTTCTGGAGATGGAGCCCTAGTGGTCCACAGCCTCATTTCTTGCTTTACACATAAACTGATGGAACACTTTGTTTATGCAAAAAACCGCAGGATATTAAATATTTGCAGCACTTGTCTTAATTAAGTTACATAGGAAGCTATTTAGAATAAACATTTGCCATAGCCGGAATTTGCGTAAAGAAATCTTTTGTTAGTTGAATTCCCCTCAAGATGAAACATTATGATGTTTTGCTTGGTCAGTGGTACAAGCAAAAGAGTAGTGGTGTCACAAAACCTGAGTTTAGTTCACCTAACTTGTCACCTAGGGCAAGCTGGGTCTTTTTTTCTTAGGTGGTTTTTTTAAGGACTATTTTAAAAAGGGAAGCTAAGGCTCTCTCTAGCTCCAAGCTTCTGTGATCTTTGACCTCCTCTTAAAAAAACAAGTGGTACCTGAATGTAGTAATTTCTGTAATAAATCTTTTGGATCTATCATTTCGTAAGAGTAGATGAAAAGTCCTGATTATTTTGGAGAAGTAAAATCTAAATCTCCAAACTGTCAGTATTGCTAAAGATTTCTAGCGCCAACTTTCTAACTGCCAGTAAAACAGCAAAATATACTGACTTTTAAAGTGCTAGTACTACCACCTAGCACTTTAGAAGGTGGAGGGGAAGGTGAAAAATTCATTCATATATATTTTAGAAAGATATCACAATTCCAAAAATCCACTCCCCTACTCCCTTAAAGATTAAATAGTAGCAATACAATCTGTAATCTGCATTTCCTTCCACTTAGCCCTTCCAATGAGGAGTAACTCATTTAGGCAACACGTTAACTTACTTCAGAACTGTGAGTCACCCTTAGGAACGCTGACATAACTACTTAAAAATATATTCATCAGCTCTATCCATGAAGAAGCCAGCCCAAGGACAAGGCAAGCCTTGCAAATCCAAACATCACCACCACATCAGGAAGACACCATTCTTGCTCGCAGACACTTCACTCCCTTGGAATACTAAAGTGGAAAACAGGCATCAGAGAGAAAGGTGAATCTTTTTTTTTTTTAATTCCAGGGAAGGATTAGGGGGGTAGGAAAGAGGAGGAAAAAAATTAAAAAATCGAAGATAATAGCACTAAATATCTACAAGATATGAACTTTTTCCCAAATAAAACATGACTTGGTGCATATAAATCTCAGGTAGCTGGTGACATCCTGCACAAACAGTATGAAAAGTAATATGCAGTACAGTTTTTTATTCAATTAATAAAATTATTCAATTATGTTTCTTGAAATCTTCTATGGCATCCTGAAATGTCAGAGAACCAAGACTGCCTGAAAATCATGACTGTCATGATCAAGGAAACATCTGACATTGACTTCTTTTGTGTTCTAGAAAGCAACCGTGTCAAATTTGAGAGGGATCATCATTAATCAACAATTAAAGTGGCAACAAAGCCCTTTTGTTCTGTCAGTCACAAATGACACAGTTATAGTTTACCACCTATGGAAGGCTGTCTGCGCCGCCATCCCCACACGGCATAACCCCGTTGTTATGAGGGATACAACTCCAAGCCCAGGAGGGAAGAGCCACAAATACTCTTCTCGTCAAAGACTGCTGGTCTCAGGACAGTCTCAAGCAAAAAGCAGATAGATCTTAAGGCAGAAGGGACTACATAAAGACAGTAAGAGTCAGAGTAACACATGCAAGTAGCTACAGAATCCAGCCAGGATCTGGCCAAAATAATTTCTAATAGGCTGTTGTAGTTACAAGGAGTGAACAAATTATCTAAGTACATTCAGTTTTAAAAGCCTAGAAGAGCGAGTTAAAATGTTAATTTGCCTTTCTACTATCTCTCGATGGGATTCCCTATTTAGTTTTTAAAATATCATTTCAACAAAAACCCTAGCAGTCTCTCAATTTTAGATTACTCAACACCCAACTGCAAATTGCCAGAACTCTCCTGGCAATGGGCATGTTTGGAAAGGCAAAGGGAATGACCCTGTGAGGCGAGAATCCTGTTTTACTTCCTTTTTTTTTTTTCAAAATGCAAGAGAAATATAAGAAGAAATTGTATTCTACAATGCTATACAGCTTATTAAAAAATAAAAATCCAGGCCAGGCGTGGGGGATCACCTGAGGTCAGGAGTTTGAGACCAGCCTGACTAACATGGTCTCTACTAAAAATATAAAAATTAGCTGGGCGTGGTAGCAGGCGCCTGTAATCCCAGATACTCAGGAGGCTGAGGCAGGAGAATCACTTGAACCCAGGAGGTGGAGGTTGCAGTGAGCCGAGACCGTGCCATTGCACTCCAGGCTGGGCAACAAGAGCAAAACTCCATCTCAAAAATAAAATAAAATAAAATAAAAATAAATAAATAAAGAAAATCCAGTGGAATGCTTCTAAGATAGCTGCAGAAACTTCCCACCAGAAATATCATACCAGATGGAGTTGTGCGGTAGGTGAGGTCCTAACCATCCATTCAGCACACGACAGACCAAAGCACAAAGGCGGCACTCAGAGTGTCCTCTAAGTCCCAGAAGGACCAGAGTGGGCTCTGGCATCTTACATGTCCTCCCTCTCATGCAGTAAGTTCACTAACAGAAATTTTCTTCATTTAAAGGGTAACAAATAGAAAAGGGATCCCAGGCAATTTCCCCACCCACTGCAAATCTTATGAAGTAGCCAGCATGCACCAATAGATGGCAATAGCGAGTCTTTACACTCCAGCTGTGGGATCACCCCTAAGGGGAAAAAAAGGAATGCTAAATTATGACAAGCACTAGTATTAGCCAATTTTTAGGACCTGCACTAAAATCTGGTGCCAGTTAAGAACCCAGCCACTATTTACAGAAAGTAGGTCTATCAACGCTATTAGTAATACCATCTCACCCCTCCAACTCATTACACCCCAAAGTTCTTGTATGGAAAACATCTAGGAATATACAATCCAGCTATTTTAGATCCCAAGAAACATGGCTAGAGATAAAACACACAGCATCTAGCCTTTTTTGGTGAGTATCAGAAAACCTACATTTTCTGATTATCACATTTTCTGAGTATCAGAAAACCCACAACATCTAGCCTTTTTTGATAAGTATCAGAAAACCCACATTTTGGGGCTCTGACAGAAATTTATTTAGTTGCCTGGACCTTAATCATTTGTGATTTTCAAAGTATGGGGCATTACTTAAACTATCACCAACAAAAATGCGGAGTGAAGTCTGCTCTGTAAGAAAAGGATTCACTATAACTGACACATTGTCTCTGACAACATTTGTTAAAAATGCCTAAGATAAGGAAACACAATCATAATTTAAAAAATCTGCTAATAGCTAATGAACTTTAGGAAAACTAATTCTCCTCCACCTTCTGACTGTTTGAGCTCTCTGATGCTGAAACAACGGCACATTCTCCCACTTAAAAACCGGAGCTATTACAGACACAGTGTCTGAGCATCTATGTCACTGGCTGTAGTAACAGTTCTAGAAGACACATTAGTGGAATAAAAATTTAAATACAACCCAAAGAAACTGTGCCAATGGAAAGTGGGCAACAGGGCAAGGTGAGCAAATCAACTTCCTTTCTAACAATACCCAGAATATCCCTTAAGCAGCCTTAAATTTTTCCCAACATTCAACACTGCACATGGTACCATATTTCAGGCCACAAAACAGAAACCAAATGGCATCACTGAATCAAACCAAAGGGAGGGACCTGAGGGGCTGGGAGGCAGGATGCAAAGGGGTCAGCCCAAACCTTCCAACTCACAATATTCTACCTCGATTACAATCTTAATAACCATTCCATGACCTCAGACACCTCGCCTCAGTACAACATGAAAGTCCTCCCAGTTTTTATCAGCCAAGGACCAGTCCGCTGTTGCAAGCTGTGAATCCACCTGATGTCAAGAATGTGCACTAAATTGAAAGAGGTCACATATGTAGACAGCGGCAGTGGACAACAGATGAGCAGTGAGTATCTGCAGGACATACATGTTCATCTAATTGCGTACGGCTTAAATGAACCCTCAAAGGGTCGGACGAGAATATCTTCTGACTACATCTCAAGTCAAAACGTTTCCAAGAAGGTAAAGTCATTCTCTCTGATTCACAAGGGGTCTTGATGTCAAGTATGTTATCTGTGTTTCAGGCACGGAACCAACAACACTCTGCTAAAGGTACAGCATTGCTGGTTTAACACATGTGCCTCAGAGTTCCTTTCCAGAGACAACATGCTTGCATTTGCTGTGACATTATAAAAGTACTCTATGGGTTTTTAAGGCTTTGAGCCAAGCCAGTAGCAGAAACTCCCAGGGGTGAGACTGGGAAGAATGAGGAAATCAAAACAAGCCCTTCTCCTCATCCAATGAAGCTGGCTTGTTACCCCTCTTCTTTAGCATTTTAACTCCATGACAATTTCTGATCCCCACTCAGTTTCCGGAAACATCCTGAGAAAAGAAGTCCAATCTCTTAAACAGGACTCAAGATAAAAACACCCAAGCTGTGTGTAATTCTGAAGGGCTAAAAGACAAAGACTTCCTGTTCAATTAAGTCCTTCATTAATCCCTCCTGCTTAAGCCCATTTTCCTTGTCTGTAGACAGGAAATGATAAAGCCACAAGGTCAGCCTCCTTCAGTGCAGCTTAAACCCTCCAAAGAAGGCTGCAGCCACATATCCATCGTAGGTTCCTCACAAAGCCTCACTATCTGTTCATTTTTTCTGGATGGCATTACAAAACAGAGGGAAGGGTGATCAAAAGTATAACCAGGAGTGAAAGAAACGGGAGAATAAATTGCACGACATCCTAATAAAACATAACAGCAGGGGTGCAAGTACAGGAGGAGGATAGAGATCCATGCAACAGGCTTATAAACCTCCAACAATGAAAGCAGCCAATGATAAGATTTTTCAGCTAAAAACTTCTTAAATGAGCAATGTCCAAAATCTTATCTTTTACCCCAACCTCAAACCTAGCTTCACTGAGTCCTCTTGCACCAGGAGTAATTAATGGTTGTGATGCTTCCTATGAGAGGCACTGTAGCTGGGTTTGCCTCATTCTCCCCTGTTCCACTGCCTGAACCAGAAAAAGCACCCCCCACACCTTTTTTTTTTTTTTTTTGAGACAGAGTCTTGCTCTGTCACCCAGGCTGGAGTGCAGTGGCGTGATCTCAGCTCACTAAAACCTCCCCCTTCCGGGTTGAAGCGATTCTCTTGCCTCAGCCTCCTGAGTAGCTGGAATTACAGGTACCCAACACCATGCCTGGCTAATTTTTCTATTTTTACTAGAGGCAGGGTTTCACCATGTTACCCAGGCTGGTGGTCTCTTACTCCTGACCTCAGGCAATCCGCCTGCTTTGGCCTCCCAAAGTGCTGGGATTACAGGTGTGAGCCACCGAGCATGGCCACAGTAAGGGATTTCAATGGAGCAGATAGAAGGATACTGTGGAGGGAAACTGCTTCCTAGCTCTTTTCAAGCTATGCTGCCCCCACCACAGGAAGGCAAGCCACCATTGAAGAGAAAGGATAACATTTGCCTAAAGGATCTTTAAAGCGGGGGCTGCCAGGAGGAACCACAATAACAAAGAAGTTGGAATTGTCAGAAAAATACTCACATTTTGTCCACATTGGTCAGAAACAATGACGTGCAGAGGAATCATGGAAATGAACTACATCCTTCTACGCTCTGCAATTCACAGATGAAAAAAGCTACGTACGTACATCTCCCTCACTGCTGACTTCAGCAGAATGTTATGCCAGCCAACTGGGCAAATGCAGAATCATGTTCATAAAGATGTGGGTGACAGGCACTGGGAGGGGGGATGCATAACTACCCTCTTTATAATGCAACTTTCCGATTCCGCCAGCCTCAACATGCCCTAATGGTCTCCCTTTGATCAAAGAGGCATCCATCTTTAACTGTGTCAATCCACTGCCAAACTCCACACTCCCAGCCATATATCAGTCCTGGGAAGGGTTGCTGAGGCTTCTCCTCCAGCAATTTGTAAATGAGAACATTTCCAGCTGGATACTTCAAGTTTCCTCCCCATCCCACCACCCCACAACCCATTTCCAAAATACCATCAAAAAGCAGCCATAGTAACTTCATACCCAGAACAGGCCCCAAGACATTAAACCTGTGTGGGTTTGGAAAACAATACTAACAGACACTGACAAAAATATTCTATCTTCTATCTATTCTGCTAAGGGCCCACTTACCTTTCCAAAAATTCACTTGTTCTTCTTAAGTGGCCTTTCTCCACCCTCTTCTAAGAATTTATTTGTCCTCCCAGAATCGCCCTTTTGCCCCCCACATCCCATTAGGATGGTAAATTCTTTCTTTTTTTTTTTGAGACAGAGTCTCACTCTGTTGCCAGGCTGGAGTCCAGTGGCGTGATCTCAGCTCACTGCAACCTCCGCCTCCCGGGTTCAAGCGATTCTAGGATGGTAAATTCTAACCTCCTCTTAGAGTCACATTTCTTTGTGAACTCAACTAAATCTGTTTTTTTTTTCCCTGTTGCTAATCTGTCTTTCATCCATTTAATTAGCAGGCTCCCCAAAACTGAACTTAAGAGGGTAGAGAAAAAGTTCCTCTTTTTAAAATACGTTTCTTCTATTTTTTTATGTCATACAACTTTAAAAGCAGAGAATGTTACACAAACTAGCACTGCAGATAGACAACCCTAGTAACTAACTAGGTTAAGGGAGGACTTCCACAATGTAAGCGTAAAGGACAGTGCATAAGGAGCTGAGGCCAAGGGTTCATGGTGTGATTCAGCTGGACATAAAAGGGGACAGACCTTAGGGAATGGATAATGAAGGAGACACAGTTTCTGCCTTTCAGGTCTGAACAGGAAGCCTTAGGTTTCATGAAGTGCGACATAATCCAGTCACAGCCTCACAACATAAAGTATGACCTAGACTACACCATGGAGTCAGTGGAGACTGCCATTCCCAACCAGTCCCTGAAACAACCTCCCTCTGGGACAGAAATTGGCTTGGGAACTCAATCATTCACCAAAAGGGACCTTTCCAGGAAGAAAAGATGACCACACACCCCTGTGCTTCCAGGTAGAATCTATGCTGAAGCTGAACAGTAAAACCGTAAAATCACACGGCTGAAGGACAGGGTGGCCTGCAGTCGGGCTCTAAGAAGGACCTGGATATGCTGGGAGGGTTCCATTTAGAGCTCCAGAAGTGCAAGACCTATGTGACCAGGAGAGCACTCAATTGCTCTCTCAGGGAAGCACAGTCCACTTGAACCTCATTCTCCCCTGAACTGAACTCATTATAACTGAATAGGAAAACACAGAATATAAACATTATGGGGGAAAAAAAAAATCACAAGAAAAGCCTTCCAAGCAGGAGTCCACACCACTAGAAACAGAAAAGATTGCTGGGATTTTTCTAATCATGCTTCTCAAACAGGGCATCGCAGGTGGTAGGCAACAAGTGATACAGGAGTGCTGGGAATAGAAGAGCATGGTCCCTTTAAATGATAGGGAAGGTGGGGAGGGAAAAGCTGGGTAGAGGAAGGGCGTGGCCCCTGGCTAGGGCTCTACTCCCAAGACCTAAGTGAGGAAGGCACTTCTGCCTTCTTGCCCAAATGTTGCATTTTCCAAGACCACCCTGATCTGCCACGCCCCCATCCTGGGCCTATGAAAACCTATAAAAACCCAAGACCCTAGCAAGACATAGACACAAGCTGCTGGACGTCCTGAGGAACACATCAGCGGAAGACGACACAAGCGGCTGGTTGTGGAGAGCACGGCCGCAGAAGAGCACTGGCAGGCCAGTAAGCCATCGACCAGCGTGCAGCCCGCCTCCAGGGGAAAACCATCTCCCTTCTGGCTCTCCCATCTGCTGAGAGGTACTTCTATGCAATAAAACCTTGCGATCATTCTCCAAGCCCACGTGTGATCCGATTCTTCTGATACACCAAGGGTAGGATCATGGGTTACAGAAATCCCTCTGTCCTCAAGGAAGGGAGTCTAATTGAGCTAACACAAGCCGCCTATAGACAGCAAACTAAAGGAGCACCCTGTAACACATGCACACTGGGACTTCAGCTGTAAACATTCACCCCTAGAGACTGCTGTGGGGTTGCAGCCCTACAACCTGCCCGTCTGTATGCTCCCCTAGAGGTATGAGCAGCGGGGCACTGAAGAAGTGAGCCACTCCTCCATCGCACGCCCTGAGAGGGGGACAAGAAAACCTTCCCCATTTCAATAGAAACCATAAAATGCAGCAAAGCTTTTCTGTGTTTTCTGCTAGCTTTGGGATTGGTTTGCTCTGTACTCCTGAAGTTCAAAGTTTAAAAAAAAAAAAAATTTGGAATTCATCCTCAAGGCACTGAAACTCCAATGTGCCAAACAGCTTATACTATTAATCTACTCGATTTCAAATTAGTAAAATGTATTTATTTAAAATTAAAAAAATAAAATGTAGCAAAGCATGGCATCATGAGTCATTTCCAGGAATACAGCAGGCCAAGATATTCAAGCAAGTCATTAAAGCCATCAATGAGGTAATAAACAAACAAGAAATTACTGATGGAAATTCTAAGAACAAAAGCTAGAACCCAGACCTACCCAAGGAGAAATGACCCCACTTTTGTGCTTCTGACACAAACAAACCTGAACTTGATTTCCCTAGCACTGGCACTGGGAGGAAGGTGGCATCCTACCACCCTCCAAGCCCTAAAATGGGGCTCTAACAGGAGACAACTTTCTTACATTCAGCTAGGATTCCCAAAGGCTGGATATCTTTCCTGAGAAGTTGTAAAACTTAAGCGGCCCTCACGAGGATTTGGAATATAAAAATCATCTCTCAAGCCCTGAATTTAGTTTAAATAATGTTGGACTGATGATACCCTAAGGTATGTAGCAAAAACATACATGAACCCTCTGTAAGAAGAGTTTTTTCATCTCAGGCCTCAATGAATTCCCCCTCAAACAACTTTTCACATTCAGGGGAAATAAAGCACCATGAGGAAAACCCAGCAGATGTCCAACTGGGAAAATGTCAGTCAGTAATTTGAATCATCAGACTATGTTAAAACAAATAAAAGCCAAGTTTGAAAAACAGGAAACTAACACCTGAAACAGTGAACACTGAAACTACCACTGAACAAACATTGAAACTAACATTTGAGTGTAACCTAACATTTGAAAAGAACCAAACAGAGCTTCTAGAAATCAAAAATAAACTAGCCAGAATTAAGGCTCTCACTTGGCAGTAACAAACCATTTTTCTATTGAAGGAAACCCAAACCTACTTGAGAAGTAGAAAGCAAAAATTTCATGAGTTATATAGACTGCAAAACTTCAAAGTCCTCTTCCAGCAGAGGTTAAGGCCCAAGATACGGAAAGCTGAGAAACACTGTCCTATAGATGAAAATCTTATCTCCTTCTGATAGATGAGGAAACAGCAGATCAAGAAGGGTATTTAGTGACTTGAGTAGGATTAGGCAACTATTAAATACTGCTGGAGAATACACAATAACATTCTATCAAAATACTTGAATTAACACTCCATGGAATTCACATAATGGGATTCTGAGACTCACACTTGGATAAATGAATGGGTTCATTTCCTGTTGTGCCCAGGGGTGTGAAGAGCCTCTGTTGTCATGACAATGAAAAACCAATGCATTCTCTTCCACATTTCACAGTGGTTAAAATAAACAAAGATGACAGCTGACCCTATTTGCCCTTCTAAGAATTTTCTGAAAATCTCTCTCCCCATCAGCTCCTCTAGGGAACTGGCTCCTCGTAATCTATCTATGTGCAACACTCTCTGAAAGATACCACCACCCTAAACAACCCCACAGGCTAAAAATACAACAAATTCCATTTTAAAAGATAAGTCACTGATTGAGGAGTATATGGAATTGTCCATCACAGAAGCATGAATTCTGTGCATCAAGGGACAGCTACAGTATTATTTAATGTCATCTCTCATTCTCTGATCTACAACAAAACTTCGTTTAAAAAATAAAAATAAAAAAAAAAACTGTTAGGAACACAGTGAAGGGTGGAGACAGACTTACGGAGGTACCTGTGTTTTACGGGCAGATTCCCCCACTGGGTATAAACTGTCTCATGCCAAGCTGAAACATGTGAAACCAGGGAAAGTAAAGTACACTGGCACATACATATTCTCAACCCTATTCTACTCCTGACACACACACACACACACACACACACACACACACACACACACACACACACCCTGGAGAGTGAGGGCTACTGGAAAAACTCTTAGGGCCTAAAAGAATTTAAAAAACAGGGGTATGATGGATATTGCATTATTGTCAGCCACAGTATCATCCATTAATGCTAATTATAAGAGAAAAGAACTATCAGGGAGAAAGCACTGTCAAATTTTCCCCCCATATCCCCAAAAGAATGGAGAAAAACATCCCCAGTCCTGTATGATGCAATTGATGTGGGTGGGCAGTAGTGGGTGCATCGACCTGGCCAAGGGAAGCACCATGTATTGCAACCCACAGGAAGCTGGGAATCATCTTATGAATATAAAATTAAAGCCAGCATATGACCGCCTAATACAAAGGAAATCCAAGATTAAATCACATTGTTTGCTCTAATAAGTTGCTTACATCAGGAAAAGACTTTCACTTGGATGACATGCCCTTAGGTAGGATGCACGCCACCTAAGCGACTGCCTAAACTGAAATTATACACACACACACACACACACACACACACACACACACACACAGAGAGACATGGGGGTTGGGGAGGAGGCATGCAGCCAACAACTAGACTATAAATAATTTCAAATAAACCGCAAGGGAAGGAAAGACATTATTACTTTTCTTTCTCTGCACAAGGCAGATGAACAAGCTGAGGAAGGAAACATTTGGGGACACACAAAGGAAAAGGTCCCTATAAGGAAATGGGGCTACCTGGCCCTAAAAATTCTTAACCACAGACATAATCACTGTTCACTTACCCAGCAACTATATATAGAATGGGTGCTTATTATTTAAGGGTAATAATATAATACGTGCTTTAAATCACATAGAGCCCTCGGAGTGGTGCTTATCAAAGTGTGATTCTTCAACCAGCAACAAAAGAATCACTTGGGAGCATACTAGAAATGCAAATTCTCAGGCACCACCTCAGACTTAACTGAATCAAAAACCCTCAGGGCAGGACCTAGCCAGTCTGTGTTTTAACCAGTCCTCCAGATGATTCTGATGCACGCTTACATGTGAGAAATACTGGGTTATAGCCAATGCTATAAGGTGTAATGGTTGCATTTATCAGACAAGGAAACAGAGAGGCTCAGACACTTTTAAGTAGCTTTTAACAGCTTAGATACAAACCAAACATCTAACTTTATTCAAAAACCTGTGCTTCTGCAGCAGGAGAACAGGGTCTGGAGGGAAGGAGCCTAAGGACTTCCTAGAACTAAATCAAACGGAAAAACTGCCAACCTTCTAGCCCAAGTAAATAACTTTGTAACATTCCAAACTTTCCAGCTATGGCAGGAAACTTCACTTCATCCTCTTCATTCACATGGGGCATACACCAAGTAACCAATGGGAAACCTCTAGAGGGTATTTGAACCCCAGAAAATTCTGCAACCAGTGCTACTGAGACACTGGCTTCGAGCCCACTCCCAGTCTGTGGAGCGTACTTTTCTTGTTGTTGTTGTTGTTGTTGTTGTTGTTGTTTTTGAAGGTGAGAGTAGCTGGAGGATGACAGAGTCCCAAGTCTGCCCAGGCTGAGGTGCAGTGGCGCAATCTCAGCTCACTGCCACCTCTGCCTCTTAAGTTGAAGTGATGCCTCAGCCTCAGCCTACCGAGTAGCTGGGATTATAGGCGTGAGCCACCATGCCTGACTAATTTTGTATTTTTAGTAGAGACAGGGTTTCACCATGTTGGCCAAGCTGGTCTTGAATCCCTGACCTCAAGAGATCCACCCGCCTTAGCCTCCCAAAGTGCTGGGATTGCAAACGGGAGCCACCACACCCGGCCTGTAGAGTGTACTTTCGTTTCAATAAATCTGTGTTTTTTTTTTTTCATTGCTTTGTGTGTTTTGTCCAATTCTTTGTTCAAAACGCCAAGAACCTGGACACCCTCCACCGGTAACACACTGGTACCAGCTGAACTGTGGGTCTCAGTGGCTTAGCAAAAGTGCAGGAGCACTACTGAGCACAGTGAGCCTGTGTACCTAACCAGGCATTCCTGAGAACAGGCTTCCTACTGGATTTATTTCACAAGAGATAAGAGTCCTTTCCAGTGGCATACCTTTAGTGACTTGGCTTAAGAGGATTTCAACAGAAACCACAAAACAGACTGCTTCACAGCTCTGATTCAATGTCCCTGAATAAAGGGACAACACTGGAGACAGAACCTCTCTGGAAAAAAATCTATGGGGTCATTATCCAAACTGCCATCTGTAAATTTCTTACAGTGCTTAAATTGCTTCATTGAAAGGGAAAAAGATAAGAGTCTTCAACACTTTCTTTAGAAACTTAATTTCAATTAACTAATTGCAATTTAAAATTATATCCTGGTCTTCTGAGGCTTGAACCAAGAAATGTGAATAATATGTAAAGAGCTTGTTTACACTAAAAGTAGTGGAGGCAGTGGTAACAGCAACACAGAAGGCACAAGCCGTCACTGTCTTCAAGGTGTTTGTCAGAATTATTCCTCATGACCTTCAGAAGGGTAAAGCTGAAGGAGCCATACCCTCCTCTCCTTGGCCTCAAACAATTCCCAAAACCCAAACAGCAGGAAGGCATCGTTTATGAGACATACGGATCGCAGCTGATGGAAAACATCAGCGTGCATTTGGGTTCCTAAATCATTTCAAAACATTAATCAGGAAGACTCACAGCACCCAGTCCTATCTAAGCCATAGATTCCTCATTTAGGGAATGGGATGATCTCACATTCACATGATCTGTAAGGGCTCTATTTATCCCAGCACAGTTCAATTAGGCTGAATTGCAGGAGGCATAAGAAATGATAATCAGGAGAGAAATTATGGCAAAGGCAGTTCAACTCCCTACAAAGGGGAAAAACTACAAGCTCCAGAAAGGCCAAGTGCCAGTCCACATTACACAATGGTATTTGCCGGAACAACAAGCAGATTACAGCCCTGCACGGTACCAATAGTCTACAGGCTGTCACAGTGAATGCAAACATATTTCTTGGGGGCTGAGTAACAGGCTGAACAAATTTGTAACTATGTTCCAGAAAAAGAATGGCTCTGAAAACAACATATATTTAGAAACTGCTAGAATCCCATCCTACACAGTTCCAAGTTGACAGAATAATAAAGTACCCCAAGACTGGTCTGGATCATGTGCAGTTACTCAAAGCAGCCCCTACAGACCATTCATTCCCCCAAGAGTTAGCAGAAGCTTAAGTGGGCTTGGACTGGAAAGCATGCCCCACAAGTCCCACAACCCCCAGGTAAGTAGGCACTGACAAAAGCGATTTCATCACCAGATTATCAATAAGCCCTTCACAGATGGACATCTCACTACACCCGACCCAATGCTTGCTTAGTGCACTTTTTAAATCATATTAGAAAACAATTTACTTAATTCAATAAAGCACCTGGCCTATTATACTGTTATATACTCAACAGAACAGTATTTCATATAAGAGAAGCAACATCTCAAAAGGCCTCATGTATTTCAACATATAATTGGCAACCACATATAAACAGCAGGAAAATAACTCAGTATCAAGCATGGTTCTTGTTTTCTGTTTAAATGTTTTCCTTCTTCCCACATTTTGTATATAGTAAACGAAATGAATTAACATTGAGGTCAATTGTACATACTTGAAATATTCTATAAAGTGGTCATACATGGTATTTTAATGTCACAGAAATTGTCTTGATAACTAAACTCCAGGAAGATAAAGAAGCAAAAGTACATCTTGTACCTAAGGAAAAAACAAAATCTTAGCAAGAACGTCAGATATATTTAATGGCATCCTTATAAGACATTATTTTATTATCATGGACATAGATGCAGAGGTTAAATGTTTTTATATTTGAAAGAGTCCAGAAAGCTGGAGTTAACCCTAAGTTGGCACCAAGGGAAGAACCAGAGAATCTTCATGCAAGAAGATGGAATTTTGCCTTCTCTTGGCATGACTAATTAGAGAGGGCTGCTAGCAATTCAGCAATATTATAATGACGTCTGAGGACTCACAAGCCTGCTGTGAGGCTAGAAATACACACTTCCTTATTACTAATCAGATGTACCAAGGAGTAAAATTTACACGGTACATTTTGGCTTCCCTGTGGTCAGATGTGGAGTTTCTGTACCCAGGGAAAAGAATGTAGAAACGTGTGTGTACATTTCTCTCTCTCGCAGGGCCGGAGACAAAACGGTATGTATCACTACCAAAAACGTGTACTCGGTTCTTTCCTAACACTTCAAAAAAACAAATCCAATGGGTTTTTACTTCAGACACACACACGTGTGCATACACCCCCTCCAAGATGATAGTGTGCAAAAGACCAGAACAATTCTAAATAGGAGTATTTGCCTCTGAAATGTGATGACCCCTTTAGAAATGTTTCCTTTTCAGTGGAGTGCGGTGGCTCAGGTCTGTAATCTCAGCACTTTGGGAGGCTGAAGTGCAAAGATCAATTGAGGCCACCAGGAGTTCGCAACCAGCCCAGGCAACACACTGAGACCCAACCTCTACAAAATATGAAAATGTATGCCAGGCATGGTGGCATGTGCCTGTGGTCCCAGATACTCAGGAGGCTGAGGCGAGATGACTGCTTGAGCCCAGGAATCCAAGGTTGTAGTTAGCCTATGATGACACCATTGCATTCCAGCCTGGGTGACAGAGTGAGACCACAACTACCTCAAAAAAAAAAAAGAACAAGAAAAAGATTCCTTTTCCTAATAGTTGGTTTAGCTACTCTTAGAATTTGTTTACACACTCAAAAACATGCAAATTGTTATTCCACAGCAGATACTCTGCCACCATTGGGGATACAAAGATAAACAAGGACCCATCCCTACTCAAGTGGACATAGCCTAGAAAGCAAAGACTACCTATTCCTCGCCCCACCCAAACACAGGCAAGACAATCACATATGGATGATGTTGCTTTCAACCAATTCTGTGAATAGCTTTAAGTATGAGGATGGAGCTATCAAGACAATTAATGAGGACTATACTCTAGAAGTTTTTTTTTTTTTTGGGGGGGGGGTTTGTTTTTTTTTTGTTGTTTTTTTGAGACAGAGTCTCGCTGTGTCCCCCAGGTTGGAGTGCAGTGGTGCTATCTCAACTCACTGCGGCCTCTACCTCCCGGGTTCCAGCGATTCTCCTGCCTCAGCTTCCCAGGTAGCTGGGATTACACGTGTGTGCCACCAGGCCCAGCTAATTTTTGTATTTTAAGTACAGACAAGGTTTCACCATGTTGGCCAGGCTGGTCTCGAACTCTTGACCTCAGGTGATTCGCCAGTCTTGGCCTCTCAAAGTGCTAGGATTACAGGCATTAGCCACCATGCCTGGCACTAGAAGATTCTATCATTGCATGAGTTCATGTCCTTTGTAGGGACATGGATGAAGCTGGAAACCATTATTCTCAGCAAACTACCGCAAGGACAAAAAACCAAATATGGCATGTTCTCACTCATAAGTGGGAATTGAACAATGAGAACACTTGGACACAGGAAGGGCAACATCACACACCAGGGCCTGTTGTGGGGTGGCGGGAGGGTGGAGGGATAGCATTAGGAGACATACCTAATGCTAAATGATGAGTTAATGGGTGCAGCACACCAACATGGCACATGTATACATTACGTAACAAACCTGCACATTGTGCACATGTACCCTAGAACTTAAAGTATAACAAAAATATATATCTAACAAAAAAAGAAGATTCTATCATTGCAAATTAAAGCCATTGAGCCTAAAGGAAAAAATATTCTTGCATGATATTTACCTTATTGTGTAGAAAAAAACCCACTTACCATAAAAACCCCTCCTTAAAATTTCCAAAAGCAGAAATGAACCCAATTTTCTTCTAAAACAAGTCACTTTGGTTGCTGCCTTTCATCACCCGCCAGACTCCCATCTTACAATAAAATAGGAGGGAGGCAGTGAGGGAACAGGAAGTATACGGCGACAGTAGTAAGAAGAAACATTCAATTCTCATCTTAGTTAAAGCACTGTGCACTACTTGCAATTGCACTAGGCAGTCAAGTGAGGTATTAACATCAAGCAGCACTCTGCATTAAAAAAAAAAAAGGTATGTCTAACAACCCCATATAAGCACTCACATGTGAACCACAAGTGACATTAATGGCTGTCACCTCCTTCACAAACCAGGTGACTCCAAGCCCTCACAATTCCAGCATCTAGTGCCTTTCACGTAAGATGCCAGGAACCAGTGTCTACACATTCACACTAAGGAAGATTCAGGAACTGATCAAATGTTCCCAGGAGGGTCAGAAACTGCTGAAAAAGATCAGGGTGGTGTTTAGACTTGTCCTTTGGGGGTGTGAAAAGGCAAGGAGGGCAAAGGGATGAGACAAAAATGTTACTGTTTAAAAGCCTAGCAAGAGCTTAGAGGAGGAAGGAAAGAAACTTGTATCCAGCAGTTTCCATGGCAACCACAAAGCATACTAGACCATAATTTACATGGGGGGTGGAAGTGATATCCCTGCAATCTGATCTCCGAGGTAACAGAAAAAGGAAATGGCCACTGCAGTAATAAAAATGAAGTTCCAGCCTTTTTTGTTTTCTAGAAAATAAACAAATGCGGAAGAAGCTAGTATGTTTGCCAGGAGCCTGAAGCAAATAATGGGGGTGAATATGAAGTCCCAACAAGTGTTCGCCAACATCTAAACCTGCAGAGGATGCAAATATTCTGCGGCAGGTCCAGGCTTTGCGATTCCTTCCATCACACTACAACTCACATGCTCTGAACTCTTAGGACAGAGTGTGGTGCAGGTTTATGCAGAAGAATTGAGTATCTAATAAGACCTCTCTAGAGACAGACCCAAGTCTAGCAGGAACAGGAACTTGTTAAAGAAAGAAGACCCAGGTTTCAAACTCATAAAACACAATTTCAGGAAGATAAGCATAAATGGCAAGGTTAAAAATAAATTGCACACAGCCACAAAGGGTTGCCAGACACAGCCCTCCTTTACATTCCTGCAAAGTGCTACTCCAAATATATCAAGGTGCTGATGTACCCCCCATTACTCAGGCCAGTTATGTAATTCTTTAACAAACACATACACTTAAACAATGTAAATGTATACTATAAATAAGCCTTTTGATCAAAACCATAAAATGGCACTGATGGCTTTCAAATGGTAAAATCTCCTGACCTCCTTGTAATTATCCAAGAATCTATTAGGCTTAAGTCACCTCATCCTCTGGGGGTTGGAAAAACAGCAAGCAAGCAAGATTGGGGTTTGTTTTTCATTTACTAAGGTGAAGACAGGAAACCCTCTTGGAGCTCTTCCACTCCCTACTATAACTGAAGGAAGCTAGTGCTGTCAGTCCACATCCATTCAACAAATATTGATTCAGTGCCTCTGAGCACATCTTGGCTTAGACTGATTTGGGAGCCAACACTTAAGCATAGTAACCTCCTACATAGTGTGGAGACAGGTTATTTCATTTAATTCTACAAACTACCTGGGTTCTTGGTCATTTCCAGTCTGCCTAGCTGGGCCTGTCCAATGTGCAGCCTGCCCAACATCCACGTGCGTCCTTTTGAATATCAACTAACCATCTTGCCTCCAGCTCACCATCTTGGTAAAGAAAAGTTTATAATTCAATCCTGCCTTCTCTCTCAGCCAGCTTGTGAAGTCCATCGGTAAAGAGAATGCCCTGAAGCACACAAAGCCTTCTAGAAGCAGCCTGTTAAGAAGCACAAAGAACCCTTCACTTGTCAAACCTCGGCCCCACTCGAGGATTATTAAGAGTCACAATCTCGAAAACTCTGGCCCTTCCTGAGTGGCAGGTCTCAAGTAGCTGCTGTCCCCTCCCAAGGCAAACTGCCCAGTACTCAAGAAGCTCATCATGTTATTACTATAACTGCACTGCACCCAGCTACCATGTTCACAGAAACAGGTACAGGCCTGTTTCCCTGCATTAGATTGGCTGAGAAACCCACAGCTGGCAGCTCACATCATGCTATTAGGACGTCAAAGAGGACTGACTTACCCAGAAAAGCACAATACTAAAAGGGTCTCCTCCTTTTCTCGCTCTTATTACATCTCCCAGATATGGGAAAATGAAGTGCACACATGACCATATTGAAGCTGCCGCAATTTCCCTAGTCACTCTGCTTGTGTTCCACAAACTTCACGCATCTTTCTTTTGCAGCACACTTGCGCTCTTAGTCCATTTGAGGCTTCTATTACAGAATGCTTAACACTGCGTAACATATAAAGAACAGAAATTTATTTCTCACCATTTTAAAGACTGATGGACAGGCATATGGTGATGGCCTTCATGCCATTACCTAACATAGTAGAGTAGAAGGCAACATATGGCAAGAGAGACAAAAGGGGGCCTATCTTGTCCTTCTATAAGGAATCCACTCCCATGATAAAGGTATGAATCCACTCCCACGATAAAGGTATTAATCCACTCAAGAGGGTGCAGCCCTCATGACCCCAACACCTCTACATTGGGGAACAAGTTTCTAACACATGAAATTTGGGGGGCACATTCATACCACAGTACACCGCAACAAAAATTATTTACTTCTCTACTTTCCCTGGGATGCAGATTTCTGTGGCTCAAAACAGGCTTAAATCAATCATATGTAGCTGCATCTCAGCACCTGAGAAAACTATTAGCATGCGTTTTCATTTACAAATTAGCACCTATGCATATGTGC
This sequence comes from Homo sapiens, assembly GCF_000001405.40. Classification (NCBI taxonomy): domain Eukaryota; kingdom Metazoa; phylum Chordata; class Mammalia; order Primates; family Hominidae; genus Homo; species Homo sapiens. The sequence goes on along the minus strand of NC_000006.12, from coordinate 15,425,270 downwards.
TCCTTGGAGGTCACAATCCTCTGAAGGTTAAAATGGAATCACTTTGCCACACCCCAGAATTCTCAGGCCACTCCAAAAATTTTGAAGGTACAACTATACTATTCTCTGTTTGTCATCAGTACATTATGATGGCTCTTCATTGACTTATTTAAGGTGAGCAGACATCATTTACTGAGTCTGTATTACATACCGGGAGCCTTGTCTCCCAGACAAGTATAGTCTTCTGTGCCTCAGTGTTCTCATCGGTAGGATGGGGATGATAATAAAATAACGTATCTTAATGATTTTGCTATGAGAATAAAATGGGCTAACATATGTAAGGAATGTAAAACAGTGGAAGTGGACAGCACATCATAAATGCTATGTAAGTGTTTGCTGGTTTGTTGTTGTTGTTGTTGTTTTGTTTTGTTTGAGACAGAGTTTTGCTCTTGTTGCCCAGGCTGGAGTGCAATGGCACGATCTCAGCTCACCGCAACCTCCGCCTCCTTGGTTCAAGCGATTCTCCTGCCTCAGCCTCCTGAGTAGCTGGGATTACAAGGATGCGCCACCACACCAAGCTAATTTTGTATTTTTTTAGTGGAGGCAGGGGTTCTCCATGTTGGTCACACTGGTCTCGAACTCCCGACCTCAGGTGATCCGCCCAACTCAGCCCCCCAAAGTGCTGGGATTACAGGCGTGAGCCACCACGCCTGGCCAAGTGTTTGCTGTTATTAACATCAACAGAGCCACTCTGCAAAATTGCTCTTCTTTCAGATAACTGACTCCCCCAGGGACAGAGTATTACTTTAGATTCAAGCCCAGTCTATATGAATCTATAATCATAAATTTTGCTCTTTTCTCCTAATTTCTAATCAAAGGGTTAATTATAAGACTGGGCTAGAAAAACATGTTTGACACTAAGCCACAACATTTGGAGGATTGTGGAGGGAGAACTCCTCCTGGTGTAAATCAATTCCAAATCAAAATAAGCCAAGAAGGGCTTGAAGATCAAGAGACAGTCAATGGCCAGGCACAGTGGCTCATGACTGTAATTCCAGAAATTTGGGAGGCCGAGGCAGGAGGATCACTTGAGGCTGGGAGTTTGAGACTAATGTGGGCAACAAAGCAAGACCCCATCTCTTAAAAAAAAAAAAAAAAGAGGCAGCCAGGGATGAATACATACAGGTCTATCCACGTCTGTGTGCCTCCCAGAAAGAGTTTAGGAATGCGGGCTCAGATGTCTAAGCAGTGAAAGTAGTAAGTACTGGCCAAACAACGCAGACCAACGAGGGGATGAAGCCTGACCACTAGAGAAAGGGACCAGAGGTTAACAAAAAGACCCTCCGGGAGAGGAGGTGTCTTGGGGAAAACAAAAACGGAGCTCCACCCAAAGACAGGGCACCTGCAAAGGCACAGCAGCACCATAAAGGTATTCACAGTTGCAGGAACCCAAAACACTGGTCACCAGACACATGTTCACACCTCTTCCCTATCACGGCCCCAAGGGAAGCAGAGGCCAGCAAGGAGTGGAGATGAGAAGTGACAAGCTTCTCCAGCATCCTGCAAACAGATATCCCATACCAAGGATAAAACGTACGTGCTCAGCCCAGGGTGAGGTCAAGCATACAGAGGTACCTCTCAGACTTAATTATCCTGATCTAGGTAGTAACAATTTGAAATGGAACCTGCAGTCCATCCTGCCACGTAAGCCACACAAATCTACCCACACATGACCCATAAAAGTGAACTTAAAATACCAGCCTGTCTTTGTCCCATGACTCAGGAACAACTTGCCCCACAGTGTTACACCAACAAACCACATTCCCCATCCAAACTCTTCCTTCTGTGATGTTGAACTCTACCTCCTATATTAATCCTTCTGAATTTAGTAGTTGCACAATTCTTCCCAAAAGCCAAAACCACTATCCTGTCCCCAACCTCAAAAAACGAGCTGGACCTCAGCTTTCTTTCCAATGACAGATGACTGGGATGCAGGCCAGGCATAGTGGCTCACACCTGTAATCCCAACAATGGGAGGCTGAGTCAGGCAGATCAACCAAGCCCAGGAGTTCGAGACCAGCCTGAGCAACATGGTGAAAACCTACTTCTACAAAAAATGAAAATAATTAGCTGGACGTGGTGGCACATACCTGTAGTCCCACCTACTTGGAGGCTGAGACAGGAGGATCACTTGCACCCAGGACGCGGAGGTTACAGTGTGCCGATATCGTAACACTGCACTCCAGCCTGGGCAACAGAGCCAGGCCCTGTCTCAAATAAATGTTTAAAAAAAAAAAAAAAAAAAAGACTAGGCTACACCTGTAAGCCTTGATAGCATAGTCAAGTAGGCCTAACCCATGAGAAGACAAGATGGACTCAACAACAGGCGTCATTAATGAGAAAAAAGGAGCTGCTTCCTGTAAACTGGAGCAATACAAAAGATTGTTTTATAATCCCAAAACAGAGTCACATAAGCAGTATTCTGCCAAGCACTTAAAATTCTGAGAGAGGGAGGGGGAGCGGGGAAGCCCACACAAAACCAGTCAGATTTCGTGTTTATTTGACCAGCTTCATCTATTGTGTAGACACCCATGGTGGGGCTCTATTTCCTGATGGGGAAGCAGAAGTGGGGAGACACAGCCACCATCTTGGGTACCCCTAGAGCAGAGGTGAGAAATTGTGAGTTAAATGAGGTCTGAACCAAGGGTTTTTGCTGCAGGGAAAGAACCTGACCACGAATGTCGATGAGCAGCATGTGCAGCCTCCAGGAAACAGAGCATGCACAGCCCAGCGAGAATTGCTGGCACACTCAGAAAACGCTTCCTTAGCTCTGTGCTATCCAACCTCAGACACTGAAACCCAGGAACTCAGGTTCACCTTGCTGATCAAGGTGAAGGCACAGTGCGTGAAATACAAACTTCCCTCCCACACTTGGAAGATTTCCATGGGAAAGGTGAATATGCACAAGCAAGCACTGTGATGTGAGCCACCCCAAACCTACCAACTCCAGCTCACTGCAGGAAAAGTAAAGAAAAAGAGTATTCGTCCAGAAGGACAGAGAACCACCCACTAAAATCAACAAGTAATCACAGATCTACTTGCAGCAGCTACCTGAAACAACAGTCAGCTGAGCTGGGCCCTCTCCTGGACGCGCTTCTCTCCAGGGTCCTTAAACAAAAGGACCTCTAACATTGGAGGACCCAAGAGAGGATTTCGGGAGCTGTAGGTTCTGCTCAAGATAAGCTAAAACTTTTCCCCTTTCTATCCATCGCTCAGTTTATAATGAAGCAAGGCATTTCATGTACTTCAGAAAAGAAGGAATACATCCCTTGGCAGAAGAGATTATTTACTAGAAGAGGTCAGCTGAAGAGTAACACTAGGCATGACAGCAAGAGGTGCCCCTCAGCACAGTTGTGGACCAGGCCAGACCCCAGTTCAAACTGCACCCCCACCCCCAGTACAGCTCACCAAGCCAACTGCTGTCCAGATGCACACACCTGAAAATTCAGACCTACATTTGCTACAACTTATGGAAGGTGACATGGTACAGTGGCAAAGTCCAGGCATTATAGATGTGAAAGCTTAGATCCAAATCCTATTAACTCAGCTGCCAAGTGAGGGTGGTAAAACCTTAAAAACAGGTATTTCAAAAGAATTAAGGTAAAAATTTTTAGCACAATATTATCTAGGCTAAGGTCAGTTCTTCCTAACGGAAGAGACAGATTACATAGCTTCAAAGAAGGACTTCTAATAGTCACAGGCTTTATTATGGAATGGAGTTTACTATTTTTATTATAGGCCGAATGCTTATGTTTATTAATTTTGAATTTTTTTTCTTGGAGTCAGGGCTTACTTACGCTGTTCACCTTTTTTTTTTTTTAAAGACTAACAAAACTAAATGAAAAGCTATGACCGTGGCTAGTTCCATTTCCTGATGGTACGTGTCTCTCTCACACTCTCATTCAACATTCAAAGAACAGAAAGAACTTCCGCTTTTAGTGAAGCTAGACAGGATTTATACCTCTTGCCTGTCTGAAAGAACTAAAAATCCACACAAAACAACGGCCACCATATAGCAACATACTGTGATCCCTGACGGATGGAAAACAAATGATCCCTCCAGCTCACTGCCCTGAGAGAATGTCCAGGCTGCAGCAGTTACGGAAAGGGCAAGCAGAGCCGGGGTTGAGAAACACAAGGGGAGGCCAAGGTGATATAATGTGTAAGGCAGAGCACAGCAGAGGCCAGAGCCACACAGACAACAATGGAATCTGCCAAAGGCGCTCCTCATGTCTTCCGCTGAGTACTAACAAGCACATTTGTGTTAGGAAGCTACCCAAGAGAAAGTATTTCCAGAAAGGATTAGCAGGAACAGTATCCAAATTGTAAAAGCACCAGGAATAGTGCCCATTCTTACTAGCCTACATGGTAAACATAATCCATAGGACATCAAGTAAAATACTCGTAAGGGTTTTTGCCTGAGTAGCAGGGAAACAATGCCTCACAGTAAACACTGCTTTGGCCCTACCTAACCATGCTTGAAACCAAGATCCAAACAGATCAAACTGTTCCCTAATAATCAGATCTCAGAACAATGCTCAAGAATATGTAGAGAAATACGAACATTTCCCACAGCCAGAGAAAAATTTAGTGTCTGTCAAGTAATAAAAAGCTACCAGACATGCAAAGATGCAGGAAAATATGACTGATGAGGAGGAAGATTAATCAATCAAAACTGTTTTGTAAATAATGGAAGACAAAAATAGCACATATACTCAAATATCTCTTGTAACTGTACTCCACATGTTCAAGAAACACCAAAGAATAAGCATATTACTAGAGACACTGAAGATTATGGAAAGACCAAAATCTAACTTCTTTTTTTTTTTTTTATGGAGTCTTGCTCTGTCACCCAGGCTGTAGTGCAGTGGTGTGATCTTGGCTCACTGCAACCTCCGCCTCCTGGGTTCAAGCAATTCTCCTGCCTCAGCCTCCTGAGTAGCTGGGATTACAGATGCGCACCACCACGCCCAGCTAATTTTTGTATTTTTAGTAGAGACAGGGTTTCACCATGTTGGCCAGGAAGGTCTTGAACTCCTGACCTGGTGATCCACCCGCCTCGGCCTCCCGAAGTGCTAGGATTACAGGCGTGCCCAGCTGTAACTTCTAAAATATAATAACAATGTCTGAGATAAAAGATATATTCAATAGTCTTACCAGCAGATTTAGGGTATAAACTATCTAAAATGCAACATACAGATCAAAAAAGGAACAAAACACATGAGCTATGGGACAACTTCAGAGTAATATATATGAAAATTAGGTCCCCAAAGGGGAGACGAATGCACACGAAAATATTTGAAATAATAATGGCTCTAATTTTTCCATAGTAAATGAAATCTACAAACCTAATACACTCAATGAATCTCAAACTCTGGAAATAAAAACTGCCAAGGCACATCGTATCAAATTGCCTAAAACCAGTAAGGGATTCAAAAGAAAATTGTGGTAAATGATTGCTCCTACAAAGCTATGAAAATAACAACAGGATTCTCATCAGAAATGATGCACATCGGGACAGTGGGGCAGTGTCACTGAAGTACTGATGGTGAATGACTATTAACCTAAAATTTTATACCCAGCAAAAATATCTATAAGAAATGAAGGTGTATTTTGTATAACTGCATGTAATTCTACAATTATCATAAAAGTATTTTTTTAATGTGGGTGAAATGAGATCTTCCCAGACATACAAAAGCTGAATGATCAACAGCAGACCTAATGTTAGAAATGTTAAAATCCTTCAAGCAAAAGCAAATGCAAATGATACTAGAAACAAAAATGGCAACTACGTAGATAACTTGAAACAGAAGATAGGCGAGATTTACCCATATTTACTTTATATTTACTTCCACATCTTTTGTGTTCAAAACTGCCACATCATAATCTATTACTCAATTTTTCTTTACTTTCTGTAGTAGAGAGTACATTTCACCCATGATAACTCTAAAGTTGAAAATTAAACTAGTACTTCTCTTATTTATAAAATATATCTCCAGGTTGTAAGAACAAAATAAACTCCAAATAACCTGATCAGTGGAAGCTTCTAAATATAAATCAAGGGTTAAGAGAAATGTTAAGCCTTTTGCTGATTGTTTTGCTTTCACTTTTTTGCATTTAATAGTAAATTATACTACTAATTTATTTTTGATACAGGAATGAGTAAAAACTAGGCACTTATTTAATATAATTCCAATTATTAAGGATGCTCACTTTGAATAATCCCAATTCATGCATGCTATCAAGAAGATTCGTATACATTTGGGCTTATCTTCCTTTCAAACTCGAAGTAAATAAAAGTATTTTATACCATCAAAGTAACTCAGACCAAAAAGAATAAGGAACACAGTCGTGCAGACAATGTAGCTGTGAATATCATACCTGTTAAAAGCCTGAGAGAATTCTCACCACTTTCAACATGTCTTCATATCCAGAGGCATGTCATATCTCAGAGTACACTGAGTTATGAAATCCATACACTTCCAATGATTCTTTACATTCAAAATTCAATCTAATAGGACAAACAGTGTTTAAACTAAGTCCTATTGGATCGAAAGCCTAACTAAAATACAGCAGCTCCTTGTTTAACAAAAAAGTTACATCCCTTTAGAGACAGAGTCGGTACTTCTGTACTAGTTAAATAGAAACTCTTAAGAGTTTTTATTTTAAAGTCTGTTAGTACACAAAAAGCAATATACCCTTCTAAAGAATATAGTTGACCGGGCACAGTGGCTCATATGCCTGTAATCCCAGAACTCTGGGAGGACGAGGCGGGCGATCACGAGGTTAGGAGATAGAGACCATCCTGGCCAACATGGTGAAACCGTCTCTACTAAAAATACAAAAATTAGCCAAGTGTGGTGGCATGCACCTGTAGTCCCAGCTACTCAGGAGGCTGAGGCATGGAATGGCTTGAACTCGGGAGGGCGGAGGGTGCAGTGAGACGAGATCATGCCACTGCACTCCAGCCTGGCGACAGAGCAAGACTGTCTTACCAAAAAAAAAAAAAAAAAAAGAGGAATATAGTTAACAAGAGATCCCAACACTAAACATTAGGGTTCTGGGTCTCTCCCTAAGGTGAAGCAATGACTAATGCATGAGCAGCCACGATGGAATCTCCTCACCCCACCACTCTTGCCTGCTCCATTCAGGCAAATACTAGGTCGCACCAAGCTCGGCAGAGGAAATTTACAACATACACCACAGGGTCCTTCCCGTGACTCAATAACTTCAAAAGAGGGAGTACCCATACATTTCCATCTGCCTACAGATGGCTGTGGTAGGGCTGACAGAGAGGAAAGATATAAATCATTTGTGTAAATTAAAAACCCTCTGAAACAAGTCAGAGAAGTCTCGAAAGGATGTGCATACTCACATGTAGCAATTCATGTGTCACATATACTGACAATGGCTACTAACATCTAACATACAGAGTACCATTTATACATGAGAATTTTTTATTTATTTATTCGCTTATTTAGTTTTTTTTTGAGACAGAGTCTGGATCTGTCCCCCAGGATGGAGTGTGATGGCACGATCACAGCTAACTGCAACCTCCATCTCCCAGACTCAAACGATCCTCTCATCTCACCCTCCTGTAACTGGGACTACAGGCTCATGTCAACAGGCCCAGCTAATTTTTTTTGTATTTTTTGGTAGAAATGGAGTTTCGCCATATTGCCCACGCAGGTCTCTCCAACTCCTGGATTCAAGTGGCCGGCCGGCCTCAGCCTCCCAAAGTGCTGGGGTTATAGGTGTGAGCCATTGCACCCAACCAATACACCAAAATTCTCTTCAAGAATTAATTTATTCAGGTCACAAAACACCATCAGGCAGTTACTACTGTGATTCACATCTTTCAGATGAGAGAACTAAGGCCCAGACATATTATATAACCTGCCCAACAGGTATGATACAATACCTGTTGCATTATATAACACAACAAGTAAATGTTCAAGATATAATGAGAAGTCACACAGCCTGGCCCCAGTCTATACTCTTATGCTGCACCACAGTCTCCACAAAACCCGCTTAAGAACCACTGTTCTCGTGAAATTTTTCTACCCTCTTCCCCCTACTCACCCACAGATAAAAATAAACAGTTAATCTTGCTCTCTATTTTAGTCGCCAACTCAGATGACCTCTTTTGAATCGTACACTTCAGATCTCGTATTTACTTGCATCTAAAAATATACCATCACCAAATTAACTGTACATTATCGTTTCATTCCTCAAACAAATAATCCTCACCTCCATAACCATCCTTCCAAAGAGTTTCTGACCACAAGTCCACACCCAAATGACCAAAATCCATCCATTCTGGTTTCTACACATACTGAGAGACTGATGGGGCAAATACACACTTTACAAGAAGAACTGAGTGGAATAAAAGGGCAAAATGAGAAAGGAGATAGGCAGGGCCACCTTCACATTCAGAACAGGATGAAAGTCTCTGTAATGGTTCCATTCTAAACAATATAAGTTAGCCCCTCTCCCTCTCCCTCTCCCCCCTCTCCCTCTCCCTCTCCCCACGGTCTCCCTCTCCCTCTCTTTCCACGGTCTCCCACTGATGCCAAGCCGAAGCTGGACTGTACTGCTGCCATCTCGGCTCACTGCAGCCTCCCTGCCTGATTCTCCTGCCTCAGCCTGCCGAGTGCCTGCCATTGCAGGCGCGCGCCACCACGCCTGACTGGTTTTCGTATTTTTTTGGTGGAGACGGGGTTTCGCTGTGTTGGCCGGGCTGGTCTCCAGCTCCTAACCGCGAGTGATCCGCCAGCCTCGGCCTCCCGAGGTGCCGGGATTGCAGACGGAGTCTGGTTCACTCAGTGCTCAATGGTGCCCAGGCTGGAGTGCAGTGGCGTGATCTCGGCTCGCTACAAACTCCACCTCCCAGCCGCCTGCCTTGGCCTCCCAAAGTGCCGAGATTGCAGCCTCTGCCCGGCCGCCACCCCGTCTGGGAAGTGAGAAGCGTCTCTGCCTGGCCGCCCATCGTCTGGGACATGAGGAGCCCCTCGGCCTGGCTACCCAGTCTGGAAAGTGAGGAGCGTCTCTGCCCGGCCGCCATCCCATCTAGGAAGTGAGGAGCGCCTCTTCCCGGCCGCCATCCCATCTAGGAAGTGAGGAGAGTCTCTGCCCAGCCGCCCATCGTCTGAGATGTGGGGAGCGCCTCTGCCCCGCCGCCCCGTCTGGGATGTGAGGAGCGCCTCTACCGGGCCATGACCCCGTCTGGGAGGTGAGGAGCGTCTCTGCCCAGCCGCCCTGTCTGAGAAGTGAGGAGACCCTCCGCCCGGCAGCCACCCCGTCTGGGAAGTGAGGAGCGTCTCTGCCTGGCACCACCCCATCCGGGAGGGAGGTGGGGGTCAGCCCCCGCCCAGCCAGCCGCCCCGTCCGGGAGGGAGGTGGGGGGGTCAGCCCCCCGCCCGGCCAGCCGCCCCGTCTGGGAGGTGAGGGGCGCCTCTGCCAGGCCGCCCCTACTGGGAAGCGAGGAGCCCCTCCGCCTGGCCAGCCGCCCCGTCCGGGAAGGAGGTGGGGGGGTCAGCCCCCCGCCCGGCCAGCCACCCCGTCCGGGAGGGAGGTGGGGGGGGTCAGCCCCCCGCCCGGCCAGCCGCCCCGACCGGGAGGGAGGTGGAGGGGTCAGCCCCCCGCCCGGCCAGCAGCCCCGTCCGGGAGGTGAGGGGCGCCTCTGCCCGGGAGGTGAGGGGCGCCTCTGCCCGGCAGCCCCTACTGGGAAGTGAGGAGCCCCTCTGCCCGGCCAGCCGCCCCGTGCGGGAGGGAGGTGGGGGTGTCAGCCCCCCGCCCGGCCAGCCGCCCCGTCTGGGAGGTGAGGGGCGCCTCTGCCCGGCCGCCCCTACAGGGAAGTGAGGAGCCCCTCTGCCCGGCCACCGCCCCGTCTGGGAGGTGTAGCCGGCAGCTCATTGGGAACGGGCCATGATGACAATGGCGGTTTTGTGGAATAGAAAGGGGGGAAAGGTGGGGAAGGGATTGAGAGATCGGATGGTTGCCATGTCTGTGTAGAGGGAGGTAGACACGGGAGACTTTTCATTTTGTTCCGTACTGGGAAAAATTCTTCTGCCTCGTGATCCTGTTGATCGGTGACCTTACCCCCAACCCTGTGCTCTCTGAAACATGTGCTGTGTCCACTCAGGGTTAAATGGATTAAGGGTGGTGCAAGATGTGCTTTGTTAAACAGATGCTTGAAGGCAGCATGCTCGTTAAGAGTCATCACCACTCCCTAATCTCAAGTACCCAGGGACACAAACACTGCGGAAAGCCGCAGGGTCCTCTGCATAGGAAAACCAGAGACCTTTGTTCACTTGTTTATCTGCTGACCCTCCCTCCACTATTGTCCTATGACCCTGCCAAATCCCCCTCTGTGAGAAACACCCAAGAATGATCAATAAAAATAAATAAAAACAAACAAAAAAATATATGTTATAAACTATGTAAATATATCATTTAAAAAAAAAACAATCTCACCCACCACAATGATCAAAAGAAAAAGAAAAACAACATCTAGAACTAAAAACAAGACTCAGCCTTCAGGGTCCCACCAGCACAGAATCTCCACTCATCTTTTCTTGGGCTGCCCTTTCCGTGAACACAGCAGACAGATTCTGAAGGGGGACTGGCTTTCCTTTTGTAAAGAGGCATCTCAGATGACCTTTCAATGGCTAGGTAAAAATATACCGGTTTTGAGTTTTGTTGTTGTTGTAGTTGCCTCCATAAAGAAAAACTCTGAGGAAGAGAATTAGAAATTTGAGGAAACTCCAAAACCCTCAAGAACTCTGGACTCCACTGGTTTCTATAGCTAAAAAGATCCCTAGTGTCAAGTAAAGGCACTGGCAGTAAATACACACAGCAAAATCTGACTCAGGGGGTTTTCTGCAGAAAAACAACACTTAAGTAAACACATGGATGTTTTAACTGAAGAATTAAAACATGTTATTAGCATCATCAGAAAAATGTAATTGCTTCAACGTGCAGGTTGGAAAAGCAGACTAGATAAAGTTGGAACTGAGGCTGGCATCAGTCTCCACCATAGATTTTTATTTTCCATAAGAAGGAAGTCAAGCACATACAATCCCTCTCAGTCTTCCCCTTTCCCCATCACCCTACTGTAGACAAAAGGCATATTTTTTTGCTGATGATTCTAAAATCATGCACATAAAAGGATGTGTAGAGTAGGAGTAATTAAATCTACAAGTATAGCTAACTAGCAATTCGTATCATTCTAAAAAATAAAGTGAAAATGCTCTTTCCAAAGCACATACATAAATTATGACCCTGCAGTATGATCTGAATGTGGCCCCCAAAGTTCATGTGTTGGAAACCTAATCCCTAATCCAACAGTGCTGAGAGGGTGAGATCTTAAGAAGTGATTACATCATGAGGGATCTGCCCTCGTGAACGGAATAATGTCACTATCTAGGGAGTGGGTTTGTTATAAATGCAAGCTTAGACAGGCGTGGAGGCATGTGACTGACTGTAGTCCCAGCTACTCAGGAGTCTGAGGCACAAGGATCCCTTTAGCCCAGGCTTTAGAGAACACAGTAAGTCATGATCACACCACTACATTCCAGCCTGGGTAACAAAGCCAGATCCCATCTCTTTAAAAACTAAACTTAAAAAAGAAAAACAAACAACAAAAACCGAGCTTAGCACTTTCTTGTGCTCTCTTGCCAAGTTATAATGCAGCAAGAAAGCTCTCGCCAGATGCAGTCCCTCAATCTTTGAATACCAAGCCTCCAGAAATGTAAGCCAATAAATTTCTGTATTTCTAAAGTTACCCCGTCTCAGCTATTCTGTTACAGCAACACGAAACAAACTACAACAATATGAATTTTTAGGAATCAGTATTTTCTCCTACAAAGTCTAAAGACCAAAAGAGAATGCAAATGGTCAGTCTTAAAAGCTCTTCCCTGCCGGGCACAGTGGCTCATACCTGTAATCCCAACACTTTGGGAGGCCGAGGTGGGCGGGTCACCTGAAGTAGGGAGACCAGCCTGACCAACATGGAGAAACCCTGTCTCCACTAAAACTACAAAATTAGCCGGGCATAGTGGCGCATGCCTGTAATCCCAGCTACTCGGAAGGCTGAGGCAGAAGAATCCCTTGAGCCCGGGAGGCAGAGGTTGCGGTGAGCCGAGATCGCACCATTGCACTGCAGCCTGGGCAACAAAGGCGAAACTCAGTCTCAAAAAAAAAAAAACAAAAAAAAAAAAAACAAAAACACAAGCTCTTCCCATGTATAATGTTTCAGAAATTTAAAACTCGCAAGTAAAAAAACCAGCATCTGTTTAACAATCCACTAAAGATATTTTAAAATTAACCATTATAGGTAGTTACTTTAGGCTCAACTTCTCATCTTCAGAGTCAGCACATTCCATTACCCTATTAGAAAAGGCATTCTGTATGTGCGTTGAAGACAGGTTACATATTACAGTTTCAACAGTATACTACCGAAGCTCTGGAAATTCAGGTCCCAAGTCATTTACTCTGCTTTTGAAGGCAGGGTTCATACCCAACCCACTAAATACTGACGAAGGATCAAAACAAAGGAGTTCTTAAGACTTTAAGTTATCATTTTATGCTTGCTACATACCCTGCAACACCCCAAGAAATGCATGCCCTGCTGGGTGTGGTGACTCACGCCTATAACCCCAGCACTTTCGGAGGTGGGTGGGTCACTTGAGGCTGGGAGTTCAAGGCCAGCTTGGCCAACATGGCAAAACCCCATCTCTACTAAAAATACAAGAATTAGCCAGGTATGGTGGTGTGTGCCTGTAATCCCAGCTACTCAGGAGGCTGAGGCATGAGAATCGCTTGAACCCAAGAGGCAAAGATTGCAGTGAGCTGAGATTGCACCACCACACTCCAGCCCGGGTGACAGAGCGAGACTCTTGTCTCCCTCAACCCCCCCAAAAAAAGAAATGCATACCCTAATGACACTACACATTTGAAGGCTACAAAATCTTCCTCCTATAATCAAGAGTGCCCCAGCCCATCCCCAAAATCTACCCAAGCCTATCAAACCTTAATCCACATAAAACCTTGATGAGACCAGAACCAAGTTAGTAGGCTGTAATGAATCCTTAATTCAGTAAGATACTTGACACATTAATAATTAAAAACGATTTGCCAAGGCTAAGTTTTCCTTCAGCTAACTCTGAAAAAGAGTTCCTCTTTTCTACTACCTTAAAGAATTCCAGTTAAATGACTGCTTTGCACTCAGGTGCCACATGACACTGTGGTCCCATACAAAGAGAAAGCTAGCAACACTATCTTCTGAGAGAATCACAGTGAGTTAGGGACAAAGAGTCCCTCCTCCTTAAGAATGAAGCCTACAACACACATCACTGCACCCGGATGCTGACCAGCTCTCAGCCAGAAGTGAGGGTGATGGCCAGCCACATAGCTAAAGGAGTGGGTGCCCAGACTCAGAGAATTCTGCTCCCCAAATGGAGATGAAAGTTGATGCCAGATGCATGCCAGATGCCCATGTTGGAGGCATGGATAATATTATCACACATTCCAATATATTTACTGACACAATTTTTTACACATCCTTAAAATCACTCTCTTGTGATAATTCATGCTTTAAACTGGAACAGGGGAATGTTTGTTATGGAATATCTGTAATATAACAGGTTCATCACTGAGACACTCTTTTTAAAGGAGTGACATACAAAGCTCAGTACACGGGAAGATCCTAACTATACTAATAACGAATCTTATGACATCTTCTAAGACAAAGTGCTGAGGATGAAGAGAAAATGAGAGAAGAATACAGATTCAATGTATTTAAAAGGCTATTTAAAAGACGACACCCTCATGATGGAGAAAATAAAGACTTTGAGCTATGCATCTCAACTTTCAGTCCTGAAAACAGGAATCTTAAATATCTACACATGGCTAATCTTGTCCTTTTCTCTTAATTTTTCACTCTATTCTGTTCTTCTTTAGATAGATACATGTAGATTGCTTCTAAAAAGTAAATTCTCCAGAATGAGTAAACAGAGATGAACTGACAAGGGGGATTTTTTTTTTCTTTTCCTTCAATCCCGGAAACGAACAAATTCTAAGAAAAAGTCAGGAAGCTGGTCCTCCAGGTAAACATAAAGAGAACAAAGGGAAATATAAATTCTAACAGGGAAAAAAAGGAAGTAACATATCAGGTATGAAGTAGGGTAGATACTAGGCAAAGGGTTTCAAAAACACCCAAGTAAAATCATTATTATAAAATGTCACTGCCACTGTTTGACCATGAAACCACAAACTGTTATCAAACTACTAAAGCCAACTTCCTTACCAAACTATCTGAAGCTTATTTAGGAAAGCCACATAAAAATAACTGCTGTTCTAAGTTTTAAGCACCAATTCCACAGCTACTAACTTGGAACTTGGTAAAACAGCAAGGGATTAAAAATACACAGTGTAATTTCAGCTTTCCTGACAAGGAAAAAACGTCTCAGAAACACCACATTTACTTCTTCAAATTTTTAGAAAGATCTCTTTTCAGAAATGGCAAAACATCACCTAATATATATATTCCTCAAGATGGCTGCTGCTGAGAATCAATTTAAATGAACAGTTAAGACAGGCATTACAAGCTGGCAACTCTTTGGCTAACTGTTCCAGCAGGAACATGTGCTGTCAGTCCAGAGCACTTTTTTTTCCCGTTTTTAATTATAATTATTAGACAATACTTAGAAAGCAGGGCATTTGATACGAAACCTCATGATTCTGGCTCCTCTATGAAAATCAAGAGATTGGGTGAATGGGCTCACGTTATCATGTGGTGAAAACTGGCACCTGAGTTTGCAGTCCCTGGTTGAAGGTACCAATATTTTCAGCCTTGGGTACTAACCTTTTCCTCGACGGCCCTTCTTCAAAATCTGAAGAACTAACATCGTTGCTAGTGGAGGACACTTGGGATGCATCGTCCTTTTCATTCTCTGACTGTTCTGATGCTGGTCCTAATCCCTTAGACTGGTCATTACCAAGGAGCCCTACAGGTGAGAAAAGGGGACAAACACTTAAATACATCACATCAGGAGGCAGCACTTTACCACAGTTAACCCTACACAACGCTGATGAAGACAGACAAGAATGTGGATAGAAGAGAATTTAAAAGCACACATCCCTTTTGAATGGGTGGAGAAAAGCAAAACCTCATTCTATGAGACCTTTAAAGAGAGTGAAATGCCTAAGAGGGAAACAATTTCAACAGTAAGAAATTTGAGCAGAAATTTGGAACTGTAACACTATACTTCAGGATTCGTTTTTAAAGAGTACATAAACATCTTTTGCAGCTAAAGGGTTGAAAGGAAGAAAGGAGTATCTGTTATCAAACTAGTCACTCTTGAAGAGGTAAATATTGACTCTACAGATACTGAAATCCTTTCTGGAATTGCCTGCAGGAACCAGTACCTGCCACACAAGAAAAGGCATCCTTATCTTTGCAGCTACATCTTAGATATTAACTAGAAATCCTACTCCACTTGTTTTTCTTCATAGCCATCTACAAGATTAGATTGTAACCGGATTTGCCTTTGATCATCTCAAAGGATAAGGATTCTCTATGATAGCAGATGATAAGCAGGGGAGTCTTGGTGCTCATGGATGTGCTTTTAGTAACCAAAATATGGAAAGAAGCTGCAGGCCCTTGGGGGCTCTAAAAAGCAGCTGTGTACTAACTGATATGGAAGTATTCTAACCAGCAGTAAGGTCACACTATAGGGAAACGGGTGAATAACAAAGCCTCAGAGTCCCTTACATCAATGTAGGTTCTGCCAACAAGAAGCTTCCACTGATAAGACATGTCCACAGCAACTAGACCCGCTGTCCACTATCTAGTCACAACCCTCGAAGGCAACCAGAACTGGGCAGGAGCAGCACTGCTAGCACAGCATCTGCAGTTTTACGGTGCTTGATCTTGAAGCCAAAAATACGGAGTGGCCCCTTGATTTTTGCTCTTCTAGTCCTTCCACCAATTTTATGCACACTTCATTTCTCTGTATTAAGTCTTTGTGACTGAAGTATCTCAGAAAGTGACTTCTGTTAGTTGTACTAAACACTATGTAGAACACAGTGTTCTATGTATTTGATTAAAAAATACATAAACATTCTGAATGAACATAGTACACATCAACAAAGCCCTGGGACCTGGCTTGTTTCTGCTTGCATTTCCCCAGTTACCTATTTTTACATCATTTCAGAGTATGAGTGATAACATGAGGTTGAAAATAAAACACACGGTTATTCACTTCGACTAATGAGGCTTTAAGAGTTGTGACTACAATACAGAAATAGAAACATACAAAAACCCCCAAAGAAAATGCTGGGAGTCTGCACTGTGAGGGCAAAAGAAGACAACTGTATGGAAATCTAAGAATCCAAGGATAAAAGCGTGGCCAGTGTTTCAGAGATTGAAGCCATGTTCTCCATTACAGTAGCCACTAGTCATGTGCAGCTACTGATCACCTGAAATATGCCCAGTGTGGATAAGAAAATAAATTTTAATTTTACTTAATTGTAATTTAATATCAGAATGTAACATGTCATTGACAATGTTGTATTAATTGTGGAAATGTTTTGGAGTAGATTAAATCAAATATATTAACATTGATTTCACCTACTTCTTTTGAGTGTGACTGCAGAAACTAAAATTACGTATGTAGTTTAAATAATATCTTTACTGATCAGCACTCAGATCACATTAGTAGTGTCACTATGCGAGTGGGGGATCCCTCTTCCCACCCAATTAGGATACAGACGACATTTAACTGAGATTAGAGTTGGCCAAGGAACATAATATTTATCTTATCTGTAAAAAGAGAAGATGGATAAATTACCATAGAGAAAACTGAAAATAAAAATGCTGGTTAAAGAACCAGATGTAAAACTGAAAAGGAAAAAAAGAGGATGCACATCGTAAATATGTATCGTCTTGGTGGAGTTCAAATTTTTCTTTTTGCTTTTGAGATAGGGTCTCGCTCTGTTGCCCAGGCTGGAGGGCAGTGGCGCAACCATAGCTTATTGCAGCCTTGACCTCCTGGGCTGGAGAAATCCTCCTGCCTCAGCTGAGACCGCAGACACATGCCACCATGCCCAGCTAATCCTTGTATTTTTTGTAGAGATGGGGTTTCGCCATGTTGCCCAGGCTGATCTCAAACTCCTGGGCTCAAGGGATCCAGTCACCTCAGCCTCCCAAAGTGCTGGGATTACAGGCATGAGTTACTGCACCTGACCTGAAGTTTCCTTTTTTCAATAGCACAAGGTGGGAATAACATAATGGAGAATAAAGCACAGAAGGCAAAAAAGGGATCAATTCTGAATTTATCCATTAATTTACTTAACAAATACTATATGCCAGGGCACTGGGGATACAGGTTAATCAAAATCTAAAATTAGGAGAGACAGACAAACACAGACATATGCATCACTCAGTAGTAAGTGAAGAAAAGAATGTGATGGAGAGGATAATGAGTGAGCCAATGGAGCCAGCCGGCAAGCTTGCAATACCAAAACAAGAACAAGAAAGTTGGGATTTGCAGTAAGCCTAAAAACACGAAGTGGTGATGGACGAAGAGGACAAGGAGGAAGAAGAGCTATATTGGTATAAAAAACGAACTAAATAAGGACTAGGAGCAGCTCAGGAAGACTGGGAAGGGTTCCTATACCCTTTGGTACATAACAGCAGCTGAAGTCTTAGCTGAATAAGAGGTGAATGCATGAAAGAATGAACAAATGATTTAGCAAGTAAGTAAGAAAGTTAAGCTTTTTGATGACAGCTTTGCTTCTGTCCTCCTGACAAAATGAATCTGGGTGACTGTAAAGAGAAGTGACTCTCAAACTTGAGCATGCATGCGAATCACCCCCCAAGTGTCCCCCGTTCTAACACATTCCCAGGTGACACTAATGCTGCTTTGGCTGCTCTGGGGACTTGTTTTTTGGGGGGTGGGGGTGCAGAGGGACAAGGTCTTGCTCTGTCACCCATGCTAGAGTGCGGTGACATGCTCACAACAGCCTCAGCCTCCTGGGCTCAAGCAGTCCTCCTAGGCTCAAGCCAGCCTCCCGAATGGCTGGGACTACAAGTGTGCACCACCATGCCCCACTAATTTTTTTCTTTTTTTTTTATACATGGGGTCTTGCTTTGTTGCCAAGCTGGTCTCAAACTCCTGGGTTCAAGTAATCCTCGCCCATTTCGACCTCCCAAAGCACTGGAATTACAGGCGTGAAAACCGCACATGGCCTCATGTACCTTTTATCAATAATTTTGCAGAAAAAAAAAGACACTTGCCTGCAAAATGTCACAAAGTTACAAGAATCAGCCAACGTGACAAATAGAGACAAAAAAGTTAACAGGTTGGAAAAAATGTGCATGTCTAAGAAGCATAAATGTAAAGAGATGTGTAATGTTCTCCCCAACCACCCTCTCACCCTGCAAATCAATTGCTTAAGTATAAATTAGGGGTAATTTTATGAAGAGATTTTACACATGAAAAATACCTAGGAATATTAAACGATTTTATGTAAGCAAAATGCAAAACAGATAAGGCTACTCTGATAAGGCATGACTGAGCAAAAAGAAATCAAAGTACTGACTCCATTGTTCCAGGCCCTTATCTAACTAAATCTTCCAAGAACTCCAAGTTTTCCACCATTCTGAGGATTGCAATGAGTACCTGAACTAGAAGAGAATCACATTCATGTTCCAGATTCATAAAATGGGGCCCATACATAAGGAACTGCCTTTATACAAATTAAAGGGCCATAGGCTCCCCTCTCCCCCGACCTTGAGACAGAGTCTCGCTCTGTCATGAGGCTGGAGCGCAGTGGCACAATCTTGGCTCACTGCAACCTCCGCCTCCCAGGTTCAAGCAGTGCTCCTGCCTCAGCCTCCTGAGTAGCTGGGACTATAGGCGTTCGCTACCACGCTCAGCTAATTTTTGTAATTTTAGTAGAGACGGGGTTTCACCATGTTGGCCAGTACGGTCTTGATCTCTTGACCTTGTGATACACCTGTCTCAGCCTCCCAAAGTGCTAGGATTACAGACGTGAGCCACCGCGCCTGGCCAGGACCATAGATTTTACTGGCCCTTACGAAGGCGCAAGACTGACTTTATTCTGCACGTGATCAACTTTTTCAATGTGAGTACTTCCATTCTGTATATATCAGCCCAGAAAACATTTACATTTATTAATAGTCAGACAGCCTACATGGTTAAATAAACCTGGGCTTTTTCTTTATCTAACCCCCCCGCTGGCGACCAATCTCCACTGTACTGGCTACCACATTTCATTTTGAATGTTTTAAGCCCAATCATACAGCCTGCCCAATCCAGGAGGGCCAGGTCAGCAAGATGGAATATGACGCCACAGGGCAACAGAGCCATTATTATAACATTAGCCAAGCTAATGTACTGCCTTTTCTCTCCCCTAACAAAGCCCTGCCACCAATTGTTAAAATTATTATTTTTAGTCAACGAGAAATAATGAAATGGCATCCCCTCCTTCACACACTCAAACCGTTTTTATTTTTCCAACCCCCTCCCCCACCCCGACCAACACAAACCTTTGTTGGGGAGAGGAGGTTAAACAGAGGAAATTGAATGAATGGCCCAAAGAGTCAGTCTATCCCATTAGCATTTGTTCTCCTCTATTAATATTCAGTAGGTTGAACTTAAATTAAACCATGTCTATTGTCTTTCACAAAAGCAATAAATATGAGCTGAAAATTGTAAATCATTGCAGTAAAGGCAGCTTGGTTACTGTGCCTGCAACCTCAGCTAGTCACCATCAGCTGACGGGAGAAGTGCGTCTGGGATCCAAGACCATTTAGCCACAAGGCAGTGTCCATTTGTGCAGCCGAGAACTCTAAAGAAATTGAACACAACAGAACCCTGCCATCAGCAGCTCTGCACATTCAGGAGCTTTTCACCGCATCTCCCAAATTAGCAAGAAATGAAAAGACCGCACAAAACAATACAACAAAACAGGCTTCTGAGTCTGGAACAGCAGCATCAAAATGGAATAGGAATTCCTGTTGTTCTTGGTAACTGGAGACACTAGTGTATGGCTATCTCCCTCTTGCCTTATATGATGGGCGTTGGGAAAATTGAAACACAAATTAGGCCAAAGATTCCTTTAGCTGAAGGAACTTCTAAAGCAACCAATGAGAACGACAGATTTCAGAACACAAATGTATGGACAGAAGACAACTCTTTTCTAATATCTGGAAAAAAAAAGGGACTAGAGCATGTAGTCTGTATCATTTTATGATGTTTTAGACACAAAGAAGTTTTACCAGTCCTCTCTCATTAGCTACACATACATGACAATAGAAAACTAAAGGAAAAGCCAATGGCTCTATTCCACAAAAGCAGTGCCCCAAAACAAGGGTTAAAAAGAAAGGAAAAACAAGGAGGGCTTTGAGGCTGTTCCAGGGCTTCTAAAACATCTGGAGCACACCAAAGTCATTAGCATATTAGGGTGACTCAATGTATTTAGCTTTGTTGTAGAAAAGATGCACAAAAGGTAATTCTGTATTATAGAGCCAATGCCGTCTGTCACCCTGTCACTGTGAGACAAGGTTATCACATTACATATCAAACAGTCAAGCATCCAAAGACAGCTTTCATTTTCAGCAGCAATTTCTGTGTGTGTGTGTGTGTGTGTGTGTGTGTGTGTGTGTGTGTGTGTGTGTGTGTGCACTTTAAGATGATAGAAAAATTATAAAAGCAGCCCCCATGGCTGAGGTAGGGCCCTCTCTGAGGTCATCAGAATGCATGGTTTGCTGCCATTGATAGTGAAAAATAAATGTTATGTTCACTCAAGTTTTGCAAAGAGAAAAAAAAATGAATTGCTTTTTAAGCAGGGTAGGCATTCCGATGCCAGGGCAGATTTGGCTTTGGGCCTGCTTGGCATGGTCAATATGAACATGGAGTTTGCCCATCACTGTACACATGCAGGTCAGCATGTGAAGCTTCCAATGGAGCACAGAGCTCCAGGGAGAGGGGCGAGCAGGGCACAGGGTCTGCAGAGCACAGCCCAGGCTTGTCCACTGACTTGCTCACCAGATCAACACACTGGTGTGACTGAGAACAAATGCCAAGTCATGAGGCAGGATGTCGGTGGCACACTTGTGGTCAACGAGGCACAAATGAAAGTGGTTTCATACCTCGGCTTATGGAAAATAATTATCCCTTTCCCTTATGAGACCAGCCCCTGAGCCGACTAGGGCTCCCCTTTGTCTACTGTCAAATCAGCTATGGAGATTTCCCATTCCGGTCAAGAAAAGACAATCCAAAAACACCCCCACCCATCACTACTTAAAACAGTCCCAAGATTTGGAGGCAGGAATGGGGAGGATGAATAGGTGGACGCGGGGGACATATTTTTGTTATATTTAACCCCTGCAAAAACAGATGTAAATACTGATTTGTAAATCAACAATCTCACAAGAGCTCTCTCACCACCACCAGAATCCGCCCCCACGACACACCTTCAACAATCTACACCTCTTTTGCATGCACAATTTTTTGAGAAAGCGTTAGATACTAAGACCTGACACAGTGTTCATTATTAACATGGAAAAGTTGGGTCACTGGGTAGATAAGGAAAATGTCTGACTCTATCCTTTTTTTCCTATTTCAGAAACAAGTAAATGACTCTTTGAGAAAGATAGGACCCTGGGCCCCAGAAGGCAATAAACGCCTTGAGCTACAAAGGAACAAACCCAGCAGATATCTCCTATTTCCTCAGAGGAAGAGGTAAGCAGAACACTGCTACTACTAGAATGGGCCCCATTCTGGCTCTCTAGACCCCAAATGAGTAAGAACCACCAAAAGACAAAAGATCTCCCCTTCGTACATCCTAACCAACAATCCCAGGGGGACAGAAAACACTGCTCACTGAAAGGCTCCAACAAAAATAAATAAAAATAGACAACAAGGCTGACAGTTTAACTTTATTCAACACAAAACCTCTCACAAAAACAAAGAGCCGTGATCTTCATGAAAGATTTCCCAAACAGACCAGAAGCTATTTAAACTCTGATGATCACCACTGTGAACATAAATGTACTGCTCATTTTGGCACAACTCCCTGTTACTTCTTTGGGGCAAGGGCTCATCCTCCCCACTCTCTTCCCCTCTTCACTCCTTCTTCATCCTTAATATGACCTTTATAACAATCAGAACAAGTACAGTACCTAGAATAATAATAATGACTGAATTATAAACACCCACGATGCTCTACAATCGGCAGTTCTAGTTTTGTGTCCAATCCCATGACTACTCTATCCCAGGCCGTAACTGCTCTGGGTCCACACTTCATTTCAACACCCTTTTAATTTTACACTGACAACCCAGTCAAACACACACCCACCAGACAACCCAGTTATAAATACGCACCAAAATATAAATCCCTGGAATCCCCTAGGATATGCAACTCGAGCTTCTATCAGCTCATGAAAAGAATTCCACACCACAGAGGGCCCAGAACTGACCACCTCCAAGGTCAAAAGCCGCCTACAGAAGAAAACTGACTCAAGGCGACAGTGGGCTTAGGCTGATGTGTAACCATGAGCGGCAGAACAATGGCATCACTGCAGAGCAAGGGAACTCAGTCACATGAAGGAGACGGAAACACAAGGGCATTTTTTTTTGAGATTTTTTCTAAGACAGATAAATGGGCCCAACATGTGGAAAGTCTTGTGTTCAGATAAACTAACAGGCCCAAATTTGATTTCTCATCTCACAGAATTTGCACTTCTCAAAGGGAGATGTCCATGAACACAGCATGTTCACAGATAGCTAATGATATTCTTCTACCTTCAAGTAATTACAAGTGTGTATGTACTTAGGTCTCTAAAGCTTCCTATCATCTTTACCCCACAAATGTAAGGTACCAAAAGAAACCAGGTATCCAATTTGAGCCAGGCTCTCCAAAGATAAGCAAAGCTGCTGCTTTAACTCGATCGACAAGTGCCATAAAGTTATCGGTTTGTGTACTAATCTGTAATGATAAATGGGCAAAGCTCCACAAACTTTGTGTCCTGACTGACACCATAATTTGTAGATAAATAAACAGCCACACCCTTTGCCCTGAAACCTCTCTGGGCTGCCTTCATTCCCTAGGATAAAAGGAATCTCTTGGAAGTTCTAAGTTCTGTTTTCTTTGTAGCATGACTAGGAGGGACAGTAGTTCCCCTGTTTCCTTATTACCTCACTCACATATCAAGAAATCAACTGCCCTCCTACTTTTCAAATGAATATATTCAGAGAGGATTAAGTAGTCCATTCAAAGTAAAAAAAAAAAAAAAAAAAAAACTGCTGACAACAAATAACTTCAGAAAGGCCTACTGCCTCCCAGAGCAGCATTCTTTCCACTACTGAAATATAATGAATGGAAGCAGTACAGAAAGCAGCACTATAGGAATGTGGCCATGGAATCTGCTAAGATTTGAGGCACCAAACATTGAAGGTTCCTGAAATTCATCTGTGTTTACAGACAGTAATACAGACATGAATTAATGCACGAAATTCGGGAGAAGAATCAAGAGCACTCGAAGTTTAAAGGTCTCAATCCAGAACCACTTCAGGTCTCAGGATCTATTTGCATGCCTCAGTTTCCTCCATCTTTCAAGGAAAGATGATGGAGGAAGAAAAAGAAAGGATTAATGGAAATGAAAGCAAACATGCTGTTTATGAAGGAAACCAGAGCTATGGTGAGGATGAACTAATTAACTTTAATCAAACATTTATTTTTAAATGCTGGGAAATGATCAGATAAATTGGTAATAAAATAAAAGGGACCAGCTATAGCTGGATGGCATTCAGTCTCCAGAGAAATGTCTAAAGTCATACAAGCCTGATTGAAACTGCAGCTTTGGCCAAAATGGTCAACAGAGCTTAATGCTTTAAGAGCGACATTAATTCTCTCTTGTAAATTTCCACAGTGCCTTTGCAGGAGCCACCATTGCCCCTAGGGAGGATATCAAAGCTAAAAGAATATTAATATTAAGCAAATTGCAACACTTTTTACATAGTCTCTCATATATATATATATATATAGCACCTTGCCATCCACAATGGATTTAATCAGGACCCCAGCAGGGAAACCCACAAAGGCCTATTTCTCCAACAAAAGCCATACCAGCCTGAAACAAATCTAGAGCTATTTGGTTTGTCTTTTATTTATAGGAACAGACCTTCTATCCCAGGTTCCTCAAGATAAGCCACCAAAAACTGCACCTGACAGACCCGTGGAGCAGCCATCCTCAGAGCCGGATCATTGCAGAGAGACAGAGAGGAAGAAGGACAGAGGGAGGGAGGGAGGAAGAGCGCAGTGAGGCAGGCTCCGGAGCACTTGTCAACAATCCTCCCCTGTACGTAATAAGCAAGCGGCAGTGCAGATTCCGCGCGGCAATAGGACGGCCAGAACAGCAATGGGGCCGAGGGGGAGGGGAGGCAGCCAGGAGAGAAGGTTATTTATGTGCAAGGGAGGGAATCGAACACCAAAGAGGAGGGGTCTCCGGCTGGCTCCCCCCACCCTGATAAATTAAAATGAGAAAAAGGAAAAGAGTCACTAGCTTTTCATCCTGCCATTTCCCCAACCTGCAATGCAGACAAATCCGAAGTATAGAATTTCTGACATATGGGGGGAGGGGGACATTCACAGTTTAATTGTGCACACTTTTGTGTCCCCAGCCGGTCAGATGCCCCCACCCCATTGCCAAGCACACCCCACCCCCACAGACAGCGGACTCCAGGGCGCAGTTTCAATGGCATCCCTTTTTAATATCATAATCTGTGTCATTCAGCACTTGCCTTTTATTTATTTTTATTTGTTTTTTTGGCTGGGAAACCTGGGCAGCTCTCCAGACAGACTGCAGAAATCTCTTTCCACATGCTCCTCCTCCAGCCCGCCCTCCCCCTTACTCTGATTCCAGCTTCCACGGAGCCTCATTACTTATGAAGTGACCGCATGGGCCACCGCTGCCCCCACCAACAACAGAGGGGCACCCCTCCCCCTGCCCTGCGCAGGCCCCTCCCCGAGGCACATAAATTGATCTAATCTAATCAAACAGAAGCTGTTTTCTCTCATTGTTTCTTGAGGATCTTTCACAGAACTGGCTCTGTGGTCTGGCAGCTGCTGGGAGGGGTGAAAAAGGCAGGAGTCCAACTGAGGGCTGGCCAGCTCCCTGGCCTCAGACAACTGGAGTACACATCTCCTTTCATATGTTATAGCTTTTTGATTTTTAAAGTCAATTTTCTTGAAGCCTTTCTTTGAACTTCAACCAGCAATGATAATGTCCAAAACACATGCTCTCAACACTACCACATGCTTCTCTTCATGCCCTTCCAATGGGAGGAAGATGGTGGCCAAGTCCACATGGCACTGGAAGTTTTCCTCAGATGCATCCAGAGGAAATGGAAACATGCCTTACTAATACTTTCAGTTTCTTCTTTCCTAGTTGTGGAACCATCTAACGAGGACCTTCTGGGTTCTAATACTTCACACACAGTAACTTATTTATACCTCACAAAAACCCTGAAGGTAGATGTCAACTTTGCTCAGGAGTGAAGTCACCCAGGCTAGCGGGTATTCTCTCCACAATGGCCAACTCTTGTTTCCTAAATAATTAAAGCTCATGAACATGCCACAACTTCTTACATCAAAAATATATAAACATAAATATATATATACATGTACATAAACACACACACACACACAGACATCACGAAGGTAGATGATGGTCCTCCTTAGTGTCTAGTTGATATCCACCACTTTAAAATCATAATTATACATAGGGCCTCAGAGATACTCTACTACAATTCCCCCACTTCATAGATGATGAAACTGTGGCTAAAAACAAGTTTGTCTCTTAGCAAAGGTCACAGAGGTAGCTCCTATGTCTCAACAGACAGGAGGCTATCCGAGAACCCAGTGGCACTGGGGAAGAAGGGGTGGGGTAACCTCAATATACAATTCCCTACAGAACATAGAAGGCTGGAGAAGAGGTGCTCTCCAATGGCTGCCAGGGTGAGCCCCCAGAGCAGACCCTTATTTAGTGCTCTACAGTGCAGCACGTTCCTGTTAACAGTGAACAAGTGTTTGGAATGCACCCCACTACAGCGTAAGTCATACAGAGTCAATTAAAGGACATTCGGGGGATGACTATTTGGCCTTTTTCCTCTTCCTTCTACTGGGACATGTCTTTTGGCTGCTTCAATGATCAACAGCACCCAAAGCAGAGAATTGGAAAGGAGACCTGAGGCAGATATTCTGATTATGCTAATTCTCAGCAAGGTTGGTAAGAAAAGTAGAAACGCCGAGACATAAACAGTTGGCCAGAAATGAAGTTTCAGAATCACGTATGATTAGTGGTTTTCCTGAACACCCCCAGTTCTGTCACTCAAACACTCAGAGTGCACACAGGCATCAGCACTAATAAAACACTATCTGCCCCTTTCCTATCTCCACTGCTTCCTCCTATTCTAGTCAATTAAAGAGAAACGGGTATTTAAATTTTAAGAAATAAGAAAAGCCTGACCATCGTCATTACTTCCTGATCATGCAGGCAATATTTCCTAAAACACAGTACATGCGAGTCAGTCCTGTGTCTGTCAGGCCAGGAAGGAGACTTAACAAAACTCTCCGTTGTAAATAGCCATAAGTTTTAGACTGTTTACATGAAATGTTGGTCCCCTACTAAAGAAGAAACATGCAAACTACCCTATTAGACTCACAGCATCCTCTGGAAGACCAAGAATAACACTAAGAAATGGATTCAATTTAGGAATAACAACACAACTTACAATATTTAAAGACAAGAAAGAGCAGAGGGCGGAAAGACTGGGGAAGAACTTTTCTTTGCTCCATCCATGTTCATTAATAGGCTGAAGGCACCACCATCTAAGTTTCAACAGTGAAATATCAGAGCAAGTCATAAATCTTAAACCAAAGTCCTCTGAATAATCAATCCACTTTAATTTTTAAGGATATAAAGAATATCTGTGAACCCGCTGCCAAACCAAACTACTCAAACATAACCTAAAGCCTTGCCTATGTGCTAACTTTTTAATATTATAACATAAACATATATAAATAGCATTTTGTTTCACTGCATTTGATTATAAACTTTACAAAACAGGTTCCAATGGGAATTGGGTTTTTTCCAACTCAACATCAAGTTACTAAGATCCATCCGTGGCCTTGCTTATTATATCGCTTGCCTATCCATTTTCATTATTACACAATGGAGTATTTATAATACTACACAACTGATGAATGGTAGGTATTCCACCATGATTCTCATGTCCAAGGGCATCTAAGGCGCTTCTAGTTTATTGCTATCATGAACCATGTTGCAATTCCTCTCTGCAAGTCTCCTGGAAATCATGCACTAGAGTTTCTCTTAGATAATATTTGGGACTGGAAGTGGTAGATATCCTTGGATATGCAAATGTTCAAATTTACAAGTTGAATGGCAAATCAGTTTCCAAAGCAGGTGTCAACTTTTGATTTTGCACCAGTAATGTTACCACTGGAATCTCAAAATGTTTAAAGACCTTCTATAACATGTCACAAGAGAGACCAAGGAACTCTACTAACTCTAATTCAGGAGAAGTCAGAATTTTCAGATGGGATCTCATATTCACAGTAATTCTATGCAGACACCCAGGTTCATGGCTGCCATCCACCTAATTATCACCTCAACCCCAAGACCAACCCCAGTTGGTGCCTTGGTATTTCAGTACCACGCTATTAATAATTTCCCCAAAACTACTAATCGCAAAGGAGGGGTAGGGTGGTGTGGATTGTCGTATGATAGAAGAGAGTACAAGGTTATGGTGCCAGAGAATTTCACATAATACAGAATTGTAATGATCATACAGCATCAGCCATGTATTTGTAATGATATTTCTGTGTTATATGGATGAAATTACGTAGTATTGACCATATCACATAGGGTGTGATAAAAATTAATGCAGAAAGGGGATCTACTGTGCTAATATTTGACTTTCAAAAACATCATTAAAGTGTGGGCACTCTGTGACAGCAGTATAGTAATAATAAATGTTACCTGTTGGAATTTTATTTAAATAAAAGTTAATACACTGGCACTATACCAACCAGAATTAGGTACACACACAGTCTGGCTTGAATGCTTTCCAAGAAGGCTTGGTAATTCCTGAAACACCAACAGTGCTGAACTTTGTAATGCATGTGGCTGGCCCGATAGCTAACATGTCAACAAGGCCACACTGTACAATTATAAAATAATACCAATAATTACAAGAACATAGTAGGGTGACCCGGACTGGGTGATGGTATGCAAACTCGTGAAACTAACTGGGTTGTTAAGGCTACAATTAAAGTAGTTGTTCCAATTCAGAAGCTATCAAAAAAGACAACACTGTAGCCCTCCTTATCCGGATTTTAGATTTCCAAGGTTTCAGTCAGCCATGGTCAACCAAGGTCTGAGAATATTAAATTTAAAAATCCCCAAAATAAACAATTCATAACTTTTAAATTGCACACCATTTTGTGTAGCATGCTGAAACCTTGAACTATCCTGCCCAGGACGTGAATGCTCTGCACTGTACAGTATTTATGTATAAGCAAAAAACACAGTATATACAGGGTTTGGTAATAGCGACAGTTTCAGGCATACACGGAGGGTATTGAAATGTATCACCCATGGATATGGGCGGACTACTGTATTCTACATGAATTTTTTAAATTAAAAAATACTGACTTATTTGATAAACACCTTGCACTAAAAACCTTAGTGGATCATAGTACACATAGCTATGATTAAGAATGATTAAGAAAAATCATAAGACTTCTGCCTCAGTTTCCTCACCTGTTAAACGGAAATAAGGACAACACTGGTGTTGGAGGCATTAATTACACAAGTAAAAGGGTTTGTGCTACACTGTAAACATACAGGGCTACCTACATGTATTCATGGTAATAAAACACTCAAATTTTGGTTCAATATATATTGTTGGCTTTTTGGCTGGAAAAAGAAACACATAATAAAATGTACTTAACATATTTGAAGGTGATCCGGTTAATGAATTTTAAAAGGTGAACACAGAAATAATGCCAAGTCAAACAACATGATCAACCTTTTTCAGAATATTTTGAAAACATTACTCAATAGTATAAAGTAAAATTGAACCAGAATCACAAAAAAGCTGTTTACCTACTTAGGAATAGTGAAGAAAGGAAAACTGTATATTAAAAGCACTGAGGCCACCTGCGGTGGCTCAAGCCTGTAATCCCAGCACTTAGGGAGGCCAAGGCGGGCAGGTCACAAGGTCAGGAGATTAAGACCATCCTGGCCAACATGATGAAACCCTGTCTCTACTAAAGTACAACAAATTAGCCAGGCATGGTGGTGCACACCTGTAGTCCCAGCTACTCGGGAGGCTGAGGCAGGGGAAGCACTTGCACCCAAGAGACAAACACTGCAGTGAGCTGAGATCTCGCCACTGCACTCCAGCCTGGTGACAGAGCTGGGAGCGGTGGCTCATGCCTGTAATCACAGCACTTTGGGAGGCCGATGTGGGCAGATTACCTGAGGTCAGGAGTTCGAGACCAGTCTGACCAACACGAAGAAATCCCATCTCTACTAAAAACACAAAATTAGGCCAAGCATGGTGGCTCACACCTGTAATCCCAGCACTTTGAGAGGCTGAGGCAGGTGGATCACAAGGTCAGGAGATCGAGACCATCCTGGCTAACACGATGAAATCCCATCTCTGCTAAAAATACAAAAACTTAGCCGGGCACAGTGGTGCACGCCTGTAGTCCCAACTACTCAGGACTCCCGGAGGTTGCGGTGAGCTGAGATCATACCACTGCACTCCAGCCTGGGCGACAAGAGCAAAAACTCCGTGCCCCCACCACCCCCCAAAAAAGCATTGAAACAAAGGGCTGATAGGTCAAAACTGAAGAGTGAGTAATCACCTTTTCGAATTTCTGACTCTGACAAAAGTAGTACTCTCATATGCTGCTAGTGTGATTAACTGATAAAATCTTTCAAAAGAGCAACCTGGAAATGGAGGTTAACAAATCTGTAATCCAGTAATTTCTAGAAATTAATACTAACAAACCAATAACAGAAGCAACGATTTGCTTCTAATAATTAGTTTGTTGGTTAATACAACAAATTAATGACAGAAGCAAAAATTTCTATGTAGCTTGTTTTAATTATTTTGTCGCTTCTTTGACTGGTTTAAATTCTATGTCCATTTCCAAAAAAAAAAAAAAAGGAATTATTCTACGTCGGTTTCCTGGGCCATGCAATAGACCGATTAGCAATGCTTTGGTTCTGAATTACTGCATGAAGCCGCTGGGGTAGCTGGGTTGAGTCCTGCATGTGTGGCAGCTGACACATTCTCTCCACTACTTGACCCTTGGAGCTTTGAGGCCTTTGCACATGCTGTTCCCTTTTCTGACTATTCTCTCCTCTGCCTAGAGAGCACCTGCTCCTCTTTCCATTTGACAGGTGTTATTCCAGTACAATTTCAAAACATACAAAGGTAACATTTACCAAACTGTCAGGTTTCTTCAAGAAGAAGATTTAGTCTTGTTCATCTTTTGTTTTGCTTTGAGACAGGGTCTTGCTCTGTGTCCCACGCTGCAGTCAAGTAGCGCAATCTAGGTTCACTACAGCGTCGACCTTCCGGGCTCAACCAATCCTCCCACCTCAACCTCCCAAGTAGCTGTACTACAGGTAGGCGCCACCACACCCAGCTAATTTTTTATATTTTTTGTGAAGATGGTGTTTCGCCAAGCTGCCCAGGCCTGAAGCGATCCTCCCGAGGCACCCCAGCCGCACAAAGTGCTGGGATTATGAGCATGAGCCACTGCATTCGCCTTGCTCATCTCAATAACCCTCCAATGCTGCATTGCATTTATGCTGTCAAAGAGTAAGCTGTGTCTCAAGGCCAATCCAGGGCTGCGTAAGCCTGAGGTGCTCTTATCTGGGAAGTCCCACCCTACATACAAAGCACCTAACATTCAACATTCTCTGGGAAAGGCAAATGTGTCAAAGAACTCTCTTTATGTTTGAAATTATTAGACTAGACATAGCTCATATACTTTACAATAAATTATGAGATCTCAGCACTCACTGATTAAAATGAGAAATTCCTCGGAAGTAGAAGACCTCATCTTCAGATTTTCAGATGAAATATAATTTCACGAGCACTGAATTTAACAAGCAGAAATCTAGACATACGATGTTTTCTAGATACTTGGGCCTTTATTAATTACAATTTTACAGTTTTTGTTTTTTTGTTTGGAGGCTGATTTTGTTTCTGTAACTAAAGCAGTTTTGCGTCTTTCTCAAAATATGTGCCTTTTATATCCTGCTAACGTAACCTCATTCTGTTACTAAACATTTAAATAAATGTCAAAACTACCTAGAATCCTCCTCCTCTTATTTACGCAGTGAAATCATCCAAGTCCCAATATACCAGTAATCACTGTTAACAATTTCGTGTATATTCTTCCTGGCATTTTCCTTAAAAGCTTCATACATCATGGAGAAGACCAGAAATAACCCAAGTGCTGCAACGATAAATATGGAACATCATTTATGGTATTCTCTCCAGTGGCAATCTTTTACAGTTTTCTGAAATCTTGAATTTTTCCACAATTCAGATGACTTTCTTTAGTAATATGGTGAAAGGCAATTTTAAAATTTACATGGTATCACAGGGAAACTGGCTGTGTCAACAGCACAGAAGTAGAGTCAATCACAAGAGAATTACTCAATGATGGAAATGAGATGGAGCTACCAACATTATTTACGTGGAGCTAAGGGAAAACCTACATAAGGTAAATGACAAAGGTAGACAAAGATAATTTTGAACTCAGCAATAAATTGCTAGGCTGTAGTTTATTATCTTCTCATTATAGTGGCACAGATACCATGGGCAAACATATTCTAACATTGCCCAAAAGACTAAAAGGCATTTGAGTAAAATATCAATTTTTTTAACTTTGTCAGAATTGTCTACATAACACACCATGAGGATAGCTGAAAGAATACCCAGAAAGACTTCCTGCCAAAAGCAAGAACAGAGCATAGGGATACACAGGAAGAATTTCACCACCATTTCATGCGTATCCTGCCTCTATGGCTGCACTGATAGCCTCTATCCACGCATGGCTTTTTAATTTTACATTAACTAAATCAAACACAAAATTCAGTCTCTTGGCCAGGCATGGTGGCTCACGCCTACAATCCCAGCACTTTGGGAGGCAGAGGTTGGCAGATCACTTGAGGTCAGGAGTTCGAGACCAGTCTGGCCAACATGGTGAAAC
Organism: Homo sapiens; assembly: GCF_000001405.40. NCBI lineage: Eukaryota > Metazoa > Chordata > Mammalia > Primates > Hominidae > Homo > Homo sapiens. The sequence goes on along the minus strand of NC_000006.12, from coordinate 15,392,876 downwards.
CCCATCTCTACTAAAAATACAAAAATTAGCCAGTCATGATGGTGGGCGCCTGTAACCCCCGCTACCTGGGAGGATGAGGCATGAGAATTACTTGAACCTGGGAGGTGGAGGTTACAATGAGCGAAGACCGCACCACTACACTCCAGCAGCCTGGGCAACAAAGCGAAACCCTGACTCAAAAAAAAAAAAAAAAAAAGTCTCTTAATCACAACAGCAAAGCTCCAAAAGTTCAAGCATCACAGGTAGCTAGTGGCTACTATATAGGACAGCACAGACACAGAACGTTTCCAACATCACACACAGTTCTAATGGGTAGCAATGACCTATACTGCTGACCATGCTGACCAACATGTCTGCAGCAGTCCCTCATCCCTCTGTCGTCCCCTGTTACAAGCTTAGAACCCCCTCCTCACCACCTCCCCCATAAACAGGGCAAGTCGGACAGAAGGTGAATCCTTTTCAGGGGGCAAATGCAGCAGCAGGCTGACAAATCACCTTAAATTTAGCAGCAGATGGCTCGAGGTGGTAATCAGTCTAGCTTGTAGGGGAGGGGAGAAGGGGAAATAGAGATTGGAACTGTTAAAGAGCCCCAGGCTTATTCAGAAAACTAAAAACTGTAAGGAAAACTTCGTATACAAACGAATATCCCAAAGGGTGATTTTTATTAGAAATGGTTTTAGGCCACCTTAACGTGGCTTGACAGTAAAGGAAGGACAGCAATCATCAACTAATACTCTGGACAAAGTGGCACTAAAACCTAGGCCAAGTTGGACTCACATTTTGCCACCTCCAGACACGCACACACACACACACACACACACACACACACACACACACCACTCTGGGATCACTGCACTGGTGCCTTCACACACCAAAGGACAGGGTCAGTAGCCATGAAGGGCACATTTCCTCCAGAATACTTCTCATTCGCTTCCCTCCACATTCTGCAAAAGCATCCAAATGCTTCCCTGACCCAAAAGCATGATAGAGCCACCAAAGTGGGAGAGCAGGAGCATGCCTTCAACACCCCAAAGCCACTCACCACTGAAACAAAACCAAATGAGACAAAGAGATCTAGTGTTTTGTTTTACATAAGGAGGATGCCAGTGAAGGCATGCCTTGCTCCTAGACACCCAGTTACTGGTAGAACAAGAATTACGATCCAATGTCAGTGCCCATTCCAACATATCAAATTTTTGATGCATTCAATATTGCTTGAGATGGCTACAGTCCAGGAATTCTGGTTTAATATGATTTGACAGATTGCAAAGTGAATGGTTGCATAACACAGCCTTTATCATTTCTAAAAAGCTGCCTAAAATAGATAGGCCTTAAGAATTTTCTTTTGTTGACCCTAACTTAGAGCTTGTTCCCATCGGATGCTCTCCCACAGTCACTTTCTCCCCTCTGTCTGTCTCAGGCCTCCCCACTGACCCAGCTGGCACAGATCTAGCCTCCATTACATGCCACATGCTGGCTCTGAAACTCTCTGCTAGGGCTCCTCAGAGACTTCAGAACCCAATAGTCTGTGGGGTACCCCTCCTATACAAACCTAACACCGACTACGCCTACAGGGCAGCTTTCACCAACACCACTGAGGATGCCTTGCTGGGGAAAACTAGAGAGGCAATCCTTCCTTCCATGCTTGTCAGGGCCGCAGCAGTCTCAGCTCGCCAAGCCCTAGGGTGAGGCCTGATTACAAGACATTGGCATTCAGAACCTAGAAGGGGGCAAACCAACTTGAAAACCGTCCCTTAGGTGTCCTGCTTCATGACAAAGCTACAGCACAAATAGGAAGTCACGGGGTACTGTATATCTACAACCTCAATAATGATCGCCCTTTTAAATGTTTACATTCTTCCAGGCACTAAGAACCTGAAATAAATCAACTGCATTCATCGTAAGAATACCACCTCTGAGGAAAAAAAATTAGTATCCCATTTTCTGAGACGGAAAACAACAAACCAAACAGATGGTGGTATCAAGTTTGTCGGTTTTCTGAACCCTTGGTGGGACCCTGGGACATACTTACAGGGATGACAGTGTGATCCTTCAACAATTTCCACTAGCAGAGCTGGAGGACTGCGGCCTACTGGACCTGAGCTGGCAGGAGGGTAGATGCCCAGCCATTCTCTCCAGGAAATCTCTGATGGTCTGTATTCATGGATCCAAGGACAACCCAGTCTTCCTTCAGTTTTACAGAGCACACATGAGAAGGCCCAGCTTGCGTTCCCAGAGATGACCTGAGCTCTGTCAACAACTGCCTACCCCCACAAAAGGACAGGCAATCCCTTGCACAGAGTTTCTCACAGAGGGGCTAAGAAATCGGCCAGCAGGGATGTCAACATCCACTACCAAGAACAGCCACTTGATGGCAATCTTAACCTATTCCCTTGGAATTCGTCCATAAAGGGAGACCCCAGAAGGCTAGAAGCACCAAGCATGGGCTGCACAACGTGGACAGAGCTAAGAAGGACGTCCCTGCTTGACCTGAGTGTGCGGCAGTGCGGCGATGAACGGATAGAGAACCCCACACCAACAAGCACTGTTGGGTTCTTCTCCATATCTAGGCTTCTCTGGGGACTAGGCAGAAGTGGCTATAGGCTCTGCAGTCAGACAGCTCAGGAGCATGGAAACCTCTCGAGCTCCATGGCGCACTCACATTGGGTTTCTCATCAGACTGAAATGCAAGTGGACAGATGACAACAAATATGAGAATAAATCAAAGGCAAGTTCCTCCTCCTTACTGTGGAAACTTGTTCTCTGAAACAGGGAAGGGCAGGAGGCAGGGGGTGAAAAAAGTGGACTTTCCTTAGAAGGTGGGACACCTGTTGAATAAAGCACTCAAGCACCGCCCTCCTCATTTAAGTTGTCAAAGAAGGAAACTAAAAGCCATGTGCATCTCTAGGAAAAAAGTCTCTCCAGTTAAAAATAGAAATACACTGTAAATTGCTGCACTACACACTTCTATTTTTGGTAGCAGGAAGATGAACTGAAGGGCTCTCTGAAACATCAAAACATCAAAGGGTGGGAGGGGGTCCATACCATCATATTACCATAAAATAGTCCACTGTCTTAGCTAGGATAATGACACGTTTCCACAGAGGGTTCGACCTCACTTTGTGTGGTAGTTTCCCAACTCCTGGCTTCTCCATTTATAAAAAGAGTTCAGGCAGAGTGAAGAGTTTGCCAACATTTTCCTCAGAGGGATTCAGAAAGTGCCAGCTGAGAGCCTTCCAGCTCACCCTTTAAAACTCTGTAACACTTTCCAACTGAGCAAACTGGAAGGCCCTTTCAAATGACACTAGGAACAAAGTCATCTCATGGAGGGTACACTGCTGGGGGAGCCCCTAGGGAACAGATCACTCTAGATGCATTCTTCTAAATTCACTCTCAAAGGAGGCAAGATGCTATTTTTCAAATAAGCATTCAAAAGCATGGGTCCCTTGGTGAAAACCCCAATCACATGGGATGGAAGCAGACTATCAAAAATAACAGTGTTCCAGCCTGGGCAATACAGTGACACCCCATCTCTACCAAAACATTTAAAAATCATCCAGGCGGTGACACGTGCCTATAGTCCCATCCACTCAGGCGGCTGAGGTGGGAGGGTTGCTGGGGGCGGTGCACGCAAGCTGCAGTGAGCTGAGATCGTGTCACTGCACTACAGCCTGGGCAACAGAAAAAATAAAAACAAACAGTTAAATAAATTGATTAAATATAAAAGACAGTTAAATGATTGCAAAATGGAGACCTTGGACTGCCTTCATGTAACACATGGCAGCATAACTTTGAGAGCCATGGAAAGCTAAAAGCAGACTACCACTTCAGAGACCACCAGAAGCTAGCCTGGGAGCCTCCACACGTGGCCTTCCCCGTCACCAAGATGGCAGTACCAAGCATGAACAGGCACCCACCTAACTGCAGAAAGAAAACAGGGACTCAGTTAAGGATTACCCAGATGACAAGGGCAGGGCAGATCACACAGGAAGACAACCTTTCTGTGTATACACAGAAAGAGCTGAACCAGCCATTAGCTCCAAAGCATAAATGAAGCAAGAACACTAGTAACAGGTCAGGGAGAGAAGCTACGGGGTCTGAAAGCATGCGGGGCATAAGTTACCATGAAACACAAGAGACAGCTCTCCTTGGATGTCAATGGCAGGGTACAGGTTTGGCCTTGCCGGTTTATAATCAAGAATGGGATGTCACTGGCGAATATAAAATATTATAAAATATTTATATATTTTATATTATAGTTTGTTGTAGAAAAATTATATATATATATTTTATAATATATTATAAAATAGCTCATGTTTCTCTCCTCATCCCCACACCTCCTTGAACGATAGACTTGTACTGTTTTTATCATCCTTGGGAAAGAAATTATGAAGAAGCTAAATCTGGGACTCTACAGAAACATTTTAAAGCCTATAGAGGAAGCTAAAAGGATAGATGAGATTTGGCAGCAGGTGAGCTTAAAAATCAAATTGTAAATTAAGGGATTTATGAACTGTAGGGTAATTTCCCAGAAGCATATCTAGTAATCACTCTTCTGGCTTTTAAAGATATACCATACAGGACTCTAAACATTTAAAGTGGCTCAAGTAATAACAGGTTATTTCCAAAAGCTAAGTAAAGGGCCCTCTAAATTTGAGGGAAATCAGATCTAAGACATTCACAAGCACAGCAAAACTACCCTAGTCCATTACAATAAATCTGATAGTAATTAAAGCTACTTAAATACACATATCACAGAATTCGAAGATTTAGAAAACACATGAAGCCTTTCTCTAGCAGGGAACAATATCACTCTATAAGAAAGAACGTCAATAAATCCTATTCACAAACAAGTCACCTCTGGCTGTAGGAAGCCCTATCTGGTGACCCTGCAGGGTCTTTCTATTCTATTACACGTCAAGAATAAAAAATGGCTGGGAGTCACAAAAGGTAGATAAGATGAATTACTGTTAAACAGATAGGATTCCCTCGACCTCAGAAGTCCTCAAATAATTCCACAATGCTTCCCCAAATAATCTATGACAACAGAAACATCCTCCCAGGACCATCACAACTGCCATCCCCCTGTCAAAAGCAGTTACTCCATCCAGGCTTCTCAAAGGTCAAACAGCTCTAAGGGTTTCCTGACTTACCAGGAAAATGTTCTAGTATCACACAAGCAAGAAAGAAAACATGCTGCAGATTAACATGGAGTTTAATTTAATCTACAGTTAGACTGGAATAAAATTGTCACCATGTCCAAGGCCTGCAGAGACTGTAATGTACTCCCCACAAAGTCTTCTGTTGAAGCTCTAACCCCTAAGGTCCATGAGAAGGTGATCGAGGGTAAATAAGGTCATAGGGGCACAGGGCTCTGACCTGAGAGGGCTGGAGTCCTCGCATGAGGAGGAAGACTCAGAGGAACCAGCCAAGAAGAGGGCACTCAACAGGAACCCAGCTGGCCTGCACCTTGATCTTGGACTTACAGACACCAGAACTGTGAGAAATGGAAATTTCTATTATATCAGCAGCCCAGTCTAAGGTAATTTATTATGGCAGCCTGAGCTGACTAATATACAGACTTTCACCACAGCCGCAAGAATATGATTAGCAATCCTATCCCACCACAGGCACACGCACACTGTCTTGGCATCCTCAAGGGCGACAAGGAGATCATGGGCTCCTCACAGGATTCAGTCTAACTAAAGACACCGCACTAGCAAAAGACATGACCTACAGATGTCTCTATAGAGTGCCTCTGGGGAAAAAAGCCAAGTCTGGGACCCTAGCTCCAGAATTTTTAATTATTAACATTAATACACACCCAGGCTGAGTATTCCGAATACTCACAGATTAAAAACAGTGGTGGCTAATGTGCTATACGAGAAAGGTGACACTGAAGACAGTCAGAATGAAGCCTCCTCCAAAGCCCATCTGCTCTGAGTTTACACAACAGTTCAGAACAAAAACCATGATGCCAGTTTAAGAGACAGTCTGACTCTGAGAATGTCATCATCTTTCCAATCGCAGGGTTCTTATTCCAACACTGTGCCTACATAAGCCACTTCTGGAGCTGCTAAGGGGATGCACATGGGCCTCTGGCCTTGAGGCACTTTCAGTCCCCAACACTCTCAGACATTCGGCACATTCTGGACAAACATCATAAACCCATCGATAAGCATAACAGCTCTTAAAAATACAGGCAGTGGTGTTGAGGAACTCCACAATGAGCAAATACATTTAAAGAACTCAACCGGCCAGGCGAAGTGGCTCACGCCTGTAATGCCAGTAGGAGGGGGGATCACCTGAGGCCAGATCTTGAGGTTATAACGCCCTCCAGCCTGGGTGGCAGACCAAGACTCTGTCTCTAAACAAACAAACAAACAAACATGTCAACTGTACTGAAGGGAGAAGGAGGAACCTTTTCAGCGTGATAGGAAGGTATTTTATCTACACTGGAGTGTTGCTCACTTGGTTATATGTGTACACTTGTCACAACAAGACATACTGGAGATATGTGGTTTCACAGGCTTTCCTTAGTTTAAACACACACATACACACACACCCACACAGAAGTAGAGAGAGGGAGAGAGAGGGGGAAAGGAAGGGGGAGAAGAACAGGGAGAGGGAGAGGGGTGGGGGAGAGGGAGAGATAGCTATCTGGAGTCAGAAGACCTGGGCTCAAACCCTGATTTGACCACTTCTCTGCTAGGTGGCCTTGTACAAGCTGCTTAACACCTAAGGCCCATTAAATTAACCCCAAAAATATTAGTAAAAGTACAAAAATCATCAATTGAGAATTAAGAGACATAATTTTTTTACTTTTTCTTAAAAGCCCAATTGTAATTTAAACCACCAAGCAACATACCTTGTACCTAAACAGGGATGCGATGAATGTGGTTCAGAAAGAAAGGACACAAGGCTGACCCTATTCCAAGAATCTCTATGATAGTGAGACATATCACACAATTATGAATGCACATTCCCTCTGGCAATGGGGAAAATAAGATGAGCTGACATCTGGGGGCCTAGGGTGTCACGGTGTGAGCATTTCTAAAATGAAATCTGGAGTCCCAGTTGGCAGACTCTCAGTCCCCTGAACAGAGAGTGGCACATCCACAGCATGGCAACAAGAGGTGCTGGAAAGGGGGCGGCAGAGACGTGGGTGGCATGCAGGTGGGCCACTGAGCCGTCTGCATGCTCATTCACACAACACAGACTTCGGAGATCCCAGGCACAGGGAAAAGCAGCAGTCAACACAAATGAATTTTCCTCTCAAAGCGCTTACAATCTAATGTGGCTAGACACATTAGATAATTATCTATATAAATAATAAATATCTATAAAATAATATCTATAAAAAACTATATCTTAAAAAATCTATTAAAAAATCTATATAAATAAATAAATTAGAATAAACGCACGCACATGTCCCTCCCTCACAGTACTACAATGTCAGGCAGTGAGAAATGCTGTGCAGACAGACTTCATAAGGTAAAGCGCTAAGGAGTAACAGAGGCAGGTACCCTTTTTACTAGAATGTTCAAGGAACATTCCAGGGTATGGGGGCACTTAAAGGGGAACCTGAAACATACAGAGAGATCAAGTCACATAGATACCAGAAGGGAGAGAATTCTCAATAGAAGGATCAGCTAGAGCTAAACAGAGTATGCTTTGTGTATTTAAAATACCAGGAAGAGGGACAGAGACAATGAGAACAGAGTGATACGGGGGCCCAATCAAGTGGCCAGCCATGAGGATATTTCGCTTTCACATTAAGAGCATAGGCAGATATGCCAGAATCAGAACAGAGCATAGCACAGCCTCATTTGCATTTTTAAAGGTTTATGCTGGCTGCTGCCAGGAGGAATACAAAGGCAGAAGCTGAGCGAGCACAGGGAGGCTGCAACATAACCTAAGCTAGAAAGTATGACAACGTGGAACAGGAGCAGTAGTACAAGTTCAGAATCAAAAGGTACTGTGAGTTTCAAACAGGTTCACTAAGGACTAGTGAAGTGGCTCACACCTGTAATTCTAACACTCTGGGAGGCCAAGGCAGGAAAGAGGATCACTTAAGCCCGGCAGTTCGAGACCAGCATGGGCAACACTGTGTCTATTTGCTGGACATGATGGCACATGCCTGAAGTCCCAGCAACTTGAGTTCGGGGGGTTGGGGCGGGATGTTAAATGGGGAAGGAGCCCAGGCTGCAGTGAGATGTGATAGCCCCCACTGCACTCCAGCCTAGGCAACATAGCAAGACACTGTCTCTAAATAAATAAATAAATAGTAAAACAGGTTAGCTAAAGCTAAATGCAAAAATCTGAAAAAAGAAGTAACAGATGACTCCAAGGTTTTGGCCACCAAAACTAGAACAAAGGAACTGCCACTTATTGAAAAAGGGAAGAAGGGGCAAGCGGACAACAGAAGCAGATGAGAGACCTCACAGATAGTTGGCTTTGGGACATCTTAACTTCATGAGGCCTATCCAAAAAAAAAAAAAAAAATCAAAGTGGGCCAGGCACAGTGGCTTAAACTTGACTTTCGAAGGAACAGCTAAGCCCAGGAGTTCAAGATCACCCTGGACAACACAGGGAGACCCCATCTCTACAAATAATTTAAAAATTAGCCGGGCGTGGTGGCACCCACCTGTGGTCCAAGCTACTCAGGAGGCTAAGGTATGAGCCTGAGAGTCGAGGCTGCAATGAGCTGTGGTCGACCCAGTGCACTTGGGCCTGGCCCACAGAAGAAAATCCTATCTCTAAAAAATAAAAATAAAAAAATAGGTTGGGCACGGTGGCTCACGCCTATAATCCCAGCACTTTGGGAGGCAGAGGCAAGCAGATTACCTGGGGTCAGGAGTTCGAGACCAGCCTGACCAACACGGAGAAACTCCATCTCTACTAAAAATACAAAATTAGCCGGGCGTCTTGGCGCATGCCTGTAATCCCAGCTACTCAGGAGGCTGAGGCAGGAGAATTGCTTGAACCTGAGAGGCGGAGGGTGCAGTGAGCCAAGGTCGTGCCATTGCACTCCAGCCTGGACAAGAGCGAAACTCCATCTCAAAAAATAAAATAATAAAATCAAAATGCAGCAGTCAAGCAGGCAGGTGGTGTTCAGGAGATGTTCAATCACGGTAAATGCTGCTAAATGGGCAATTACACCCCAGAATAATGGAAATGTGGCTTGGGCAATCATTACTGACCTTGATAAGTGGCCCAACGTGAGGGGTTTAAAGGTGAATGGCAAAGGAAGGCTGGGGGATATTAATATGAATATAAATAGAAGGGCATGGAGACAAACCTTTTAGACATTTTCTTATGGGGGATTTTGCTATAAACTAAGAGAAAGATACAGCAGGCAGGAGATGCAAGAACAAGGGAGGCTTTACTTTATTATGGGAAAAATAAGAACATGTTTCTACAATGGTGGGAATGAACCAGTAAAGAGAGGTAAATGATGAAGGAGGGATAATTTCCAGTGTGATGTCATGGAGGGGGAGTTATTAATTTCATCCGCAAAGAAACTAGAGAGACCCTTATAGAAAGAGCTTCAGCTTAAAAAAAAAAAAAAATCCCAACCTGGGCATGATGATACATGCCAGTAGTCCCAGTGTCTCAGAAGGTGAGGTGGGAAGACTGCTTAAGCCCAGGGGTTTGAGGCCAGCCTGGGCAACATGCAAGACCCTGTTTCAAAGAAAAAAAAAAAAATTCTAGACTACAACAAATTTCCATCCATTTGCCTTCCCCACTTCTTTGAAACTGAACTCCTATAAAAACTGGCAAAAGCAAATAGGCTGTAGCAAACAGGCCCAACTAGAGCTCAGACTGCTCTCCCTCCCTTCTGTCTCCCTACACAGACCACCTCCTCCGCCCTATAGCCCTACACATACAGACTCCACTACCCAGGTGACACTACCTGAGTGCTGTGTCCCTCCTAAAGTCGTCCAGGATTGGATGGGAATGATGATGTAATCAGGGAAACAGAGCCCAGCTCACAGAACTGACAAAGGAGGCGGGCAGAGAGAAAGAGAGGGGCAGTGGGTGTCAAGCACAAAGTGACCCGAAAGAGGAGCACATTAACCTCCTCAGGCACCTCCATTCTTAACGCTCCAGGAAATGCGTGCAAGCAGCCATGCCTACTAGGAAGCGTGGCGCCTCACTGTCACTTAAATTGGATTTCTGGTTCCAATCAGGCTTCAGCATGATCCATTCCTTCCAGTTAAGTTTCTCATCAAGGCTCAAAATTCCTCATCTGTAAAATGATGAGTTTGACCTATATACCTCTAAAAAGACTCTTCCTGCTCTAGCAGTCCTTAATTTTGCACACCACTCCTTTGGCATCAGACCAGTACAAGTGACTTGGCCACGGAAACCGGCCATTGCAGCCATTTGTCCCACTAGATTATGACACCAACAGACCAGTCAAATATTTGCTGACCCCTGCCACCCCAAGGTCTTGCTCAGAAATCTCTCGCATCTTTCAAGACCCCTTTGCAAGGCTCATGGATATACAACGTTTCCTGTATCTTAGGACTGGGTCTCTGACATCATCTGCCTCCCTGCTAGCCTCCTGCACTCACCCATACACTCGTTTGGGGTTTTTGGTTCTGTTTTTTGAGAAAGTCTCACTCTGTTGCCTAGGCTGGAGTGCAGTGGTGCGATCTTGGCTCACCACAACCTCTGCCTCCTGGGTTCCAGCAATTCTCCTGCTTCAACCTCCTGAGTAGCTGGGAGTACAGGCGTGCGCCACCATGACTGGCTAATTTTTGTATTTTTAGTGGAGACGGGGTTTCACTATGTTGGCCAGGCTCATGATCCGCCCGCCTCGGCCTCCCAAAGTGCTGGGATTACAGGCGTGAGCCACAGTACCCAGCCCCATTTGGTTGTTAAAGCATTTATCCTACAGTATTTTATCCTGCTTCACAGATTTTAAGTTGCATCTATTTTTCTCATGTTAAAACATGCATCTCATAATTAAGCTGTCCCACATTCATCATTGGAAGCACTGTTTTGTTCTTGCTTACTGATACATAACATAATGGTGCATCACTCAATGACATCTTAGAAGGGATGAAATAAGGTATTAGGACTTGACCAAAGTAAGCAACTTGATCTCAGTTTTTATACCCACAATGCCTCCCACATAATAAAAACTCCAACACTTACAAAATGAAAATCTGAGAAATGCCCCACCTACATCACTACATCAAAAAAGCAGCTGAAAGACAAAGAGCCCAAGCCTTCTCGCCTTTCCACAACAAATGTAGCTTCCTTTGTAAACAAAAAATAAGTTGTTTTCAACAACATTGAAGCCCTTCATTTCACCCAGCTTTCTTTCATGCAGAGTGTGTCCTCACATCAGGGGAAACAGGAGAGGGAAAGAAAAAAGTCTGGAGGCCAGGACACAGGAGTGTTAGAGAAAACTCAAGCTGCAACTGGTCTCCCTACAGCTTGCAGAGGAGGAGACTAGCACACAGACATCAACACTTCGGTAAAGCTGAAGCATAAGCCACTTTTTTTTTTTTTTTTTTTTTTGAGACAGGAGTCTCCCTCTGTCGCCCCAGCTGGATTGCAGTGGCACGATCTGGCTCACTGCAAGCTCCGCATCCCAGGTTCACGCCATTCTCCTGCCTCAGCCTACAGGCACCCGCCACCACGCCCGGCTAATTTTTTTTTTTTGTATTTTTAGTAGAGACAGGGTTTCACCATGTTAGCCAGGATGGTCTCAATCTCCTGACCTCGTGATCCACCCGCCTCGGCCCCCCAAAGTGCTGGGATTACAGGTGTGAGCCACCGCGCCCGGCCCATAAGCCACTGTCTTCAGAAGAAAATAATAATAATAAATAATAATAAATGATAATGATAAAGTAGGCACCATCTCTAGTACAGCTAGACCTGAAAGTTTCCAGCAAAAACAGAAGGGACAGGTGTTCCCCTTCGTAGAGGAAGGTCACTTTATACCCCAGACATTCATTTCAAATATGGCCCACAAATAAACTTACGTAAATCAGACCATGTGACCTGACATTTTTTTATTTTGATTCACAAATACGTTTTTATGACTTGTGTGAACATATTTTGTTAACAATGAATTCACAGTCGGGCCCACATTTCATTCCACACACATCAAGAATCTTTGGAAATGACTGAAAGATTCTGAAAGGAGTTCAAAATTATATTTCTTAAAGGGGGCTTGGGGGGTGTTGGCTACACAATGTCCCACATCTGCGCTTCCAATACTGGTCCTTGGCTACAAATTGGCAGCTGTTGCCAAAACATCCATGCACCATCCGTCCAGTGAGTTCCAGCCAGCCAGAACGACAACAGCATTAAAAACACAAAACTCTAAGTGAGGAAATGGAAACTAACGGATGCATCTGTGTGTCTGACTGAAGAGAGGAGGAAACCAATTCACAGTCTACATTTTTGATACCCTCTATCAATTCAATTACAAATCATAAATAAAGCCCAGAAACACAGTCAATAAATACTTACCATGCCTTCCAAGGTTCTTTTTCCCAATAAAAAATTCACTTACTGACGGCCAGGCACGGTGGCTCACGCTTGTAATCTCAGCACTTGGGGAAGCCGACGTGGGCAGATCACCTCAGGTCAGGAGTTTGAGACCAGCCTGGCCAACATGGTGAAACCCTCTCTCTACTAAAATATAAAAGTTAGCCAGGCATGGTGGCACATGCCTGTAATCCCAGCTACTCGGGAGACTGAGGTGGGAGAATCACTTGAACCCAGGAGGCTGAGGTTGCAGTGGGCAGAGATTGCGCCATTACACTCCAGCCTGGGCAACAGAGCAAGCAAGACTCCATCCCCTCACCCCCGGCCCCCGACCAAAAAAAAAAAAAATCCACTTACCTCCTTCCAAATAAATACCTACTTAAAAAAAGTAAAGTCTTCCTACAAATTCTTATTTTTGGAATGCTATCTTTATGAAAGGCTCCAAAATTACCTCTCCTTATCTAAGTGGTGGCTACAAGCTTGGGAGCTCTAATCCAGAAAGCATGGGAGGTCTGATCCAAAAGGCCTGGTCTTATATCCTCATGCTTCCACTTAATAGCTGGGTAGGCAAATTGCTAATCCACTCTTAGTATATAGTTTCCTCACCTATAAAATTGCTTGTTCTGAAGATTAAATGAGTTAAATACAGCTAAAGTACTAGAACAATAACTGGCAAATAGTGAGAACTCAAGGTAGGCTAGCCATCACAACTACTGCCCGGGGTAAGTTTAAGGAAATGAATCCAGGGTCCCTTAAATCTCATCAAGAGTGTTTTGCTGGCCAAAGGACTTGATCTAAGATGACATTTATAGGAAGCAAATGAAATTCAAATACAGTTAATAGCTTCCCTCTCTGACTGTGTAATTCTGTGTACTCATTATTTGTGTAGCATGTTATTATTTAAATGTCCCTAATTTTAGCCTCAGCAGGCCAAGGGCCCTCAAAGAGTGGCCAAGGTCTCAGCCTCTGCCAGTCCTTTCCAAAGCTTTTGTCAATTTATTACATCCATGAAAAGTGGCATTATCTACAACAAAAAGTAGACAGAAGGCTCACAATCAGCAAATCTTACCACTTCACGCTTAAGCCCAGCAATAACCAACAAGCTGTAACGATGGCATCAGTTGCTACACAGACAACTCATGAGGCTGTTCAAAACTCACATATCCTACCAATAGTAGGGCCAAAAAAAAAAAAATTCATTCCTTGTCACTGTAAAACCACAAAAACAAGACTGATAGCAAACATGGATTTTATGACATGAAAAACGACGTGTCTCCACTATCTTATGTCTGCTTAGGTTATTACTACTCACAGACCTACAGAACCAGGGCAGCTGAGCTCACTGCTCAGATACAAGCTGCAGTGTCCACACACTGTTCCCAGGCATCAGATACCCGACCCCCTTCACACAGATGAAGGGCAAAGGGCTGCTTGTTCATCACACCAGGATGCCAATGATTCAGGAGATGTCACATGTATTTTATTTTCAAATTAGATAAAAATTCTGTAAAATCCATTCTGCTGTTATTTTTAAATATTATGGTAAAAACAAATGATTTTTCCCAGGAAAGCCTCCAATCATCCATTTATATTTTCCAATAATCAAAGATCCAGAAACAACGCTGGAAATGGGAAAAAACAAAACATCTTCTTTTCAATATTCCTATTGCAAAGATCCAATGTAGTTTTCATGCATTCTGTCTTGCAAAAAAGTACTGGATTCAAAGTTACAGGACTTGAGCTGCAATTCCAATTCTGCTACTGTGAATTAAATACCTGTTTGACTTTAAGAAAGTCACTACCACATCTAACAGTCATAAAGGCCCCATAGTTAGATGGGTCTTTCAGTTTACAGATCTCTGAGAGTCTCTGAGTGCCAGGGCTCTCAGAGGCATGTCACTGTCCCCAACCTCGAAGGCATGAAAGAGGACACAGAGGCAGAAGCTCCACCACCACCCACCCTTCTCTGGGGTTAAGGCACATGTTCTCATCCTTGCTTGCACAGCATATGTCACCTCCTAGCAATGGCTCTGGACTGGACAATCTTACAACTCTACCACCAGACAAATTTCTGTGACAATTAAAAATTAATGAACCAGTGGAAACATTTTGACATTTGAAAAGGAATCTTTTGGGTTGGGAACTAACCAAAAAAAAAAAAAAAATTAAAAATTGAGGGCCGGGTGGGGTGGCTCACCCCTGTAATCCCAGCACTTTGGGAGGCTGAGGTGGGCGGATCACAAGGTCAAGGGATGGAGACCTTCCTGGTCAACATGGTGAAACCCCGCCTCTACTAAAAATACACAAAAAAATTAGCTGGGTGTGGTGGCGCGTGTCTGTAATCCCAGCTACTCTGGGGGCTGAGGCAGGACAATCACTTGAACCCGGAGGCAGAGGCTGCAGTGAGCAGAGATAGCGCCACTGTACTCCAGCCAGGCAACAGAGGGAAACTCCATCTCAAAGAAAAAAAAAAAAGAAGAAGAAAAAAAATTGAAAAAAAAACATACATCTTGCATGGACTTATCCATCCTGGCTCGGGACAGGTGGCTCACACCCATAATCCCAGCACTTTGGGAGGCCGAAGCAGGTAGATCACAACGTCAGGAGTTTCAGACCAGCATGGCCAACATGGTGAAACCCCATCCCTACTAAAGATAAAAAAAAAAAGTGCCACCATGCCTGGCTAATTTATTATTATTACTATAATTTGTAAAGACAGGGTCTCAATTTGTTGCCCAGGTGTGGTGGTGCATGCCTGTAATCGCAGCTACTTGGGAGGCTGAGACAGGATAATCGCTTGAACCCGGGAGGTGGGGGTTGCAGTGAGCCAAGATCATGCCATTACACTCCAGCCTGGGTGACAGGCTCACAAAAAACCACCACCATTATAGTCAATCCGCTGTGATATGGTTTGGCTGTGTCCCCACCCAAATCTCAACTTGAATTGTATCTCCCAGCATTCCCACATGTTGTGGGAGGGACCCAGGAGGAGGTAATTGAATCATGGGGGCTGGCCTTTCCCGTGCTATTCTTGTGATAGTGAGTAAGTCTCACGAAATCTCATTTTCTCTTGCCACTGCCATATAACAGGTGCTTTTCACCTCCCTCCATGACTCTGAGGCCTCCCCAGGCATGAGGAACTGTAAGTCCAATTAAACCACTTTTTCTTCCCAGTCTCCAATATGCCTTTATCAGCAGTATGAAAACAAACTAATACACCCTGCTTCCACTCCCACTAACCTATCTTCTGATTTCATTTGACATTTAGGAAGTGTTTCTATGAGATAGGACATGAGTGATGGCTGACTATAAAGTATCCACTCAAACTAAAGGGATTTTTCAGCAAAGCATGCATATACATACACGCATATATACACAAAGACACACAGACACGTCCACATATATATGCACAACACAGCTTGCAGTTACAACAACCCCTACTCCTAGCCTCACCAGCCCTAAAGTCTTGGTTGCTCCCTACTGTGTGAGCTTTCTCTGGATCATGCTCCGAAAACACCTACAGAAGAGGAGCTCTTCCCATGATACCAATTCTGTTTTCCAGTGATTCCAAGTAGCTCCCCAAAATAAGAAAGTACACTTTGTTTAAGATGGTAGCTGCCTTGAAAATAATGATTTTTTAAAGAGAGAGTCTCGCTCTGTTGCCCAAGCTGGAATACAGTGGTGTGAACATAGCTCAATGCAGCCTTGACCTCCTGGGTTCAAGTGATCCTCCTGTCTCAGCCTCTTGACTAGCTGGGACCAGAGGCATGTGCCACCATGCCTGGCTAATTTATTATTATTACTATTATTTGGAAAGACAGGGTTGTAGTTTGTTGCCCAAGCTGGTCTCGAACTCCTGGGCTCCAGCAATCCTCCCTCCTCGGCCTTTCAAGGTGCTGGGATTACAGGCATGAACCACCGCACCAAGCAAAATAATGATTCTTAAAGCACACTCAAGTCCTGAAACAAGGAGATCTGTTTACTCAGAACTGCTATAGAAATCCCACATACAGAATAACAAAAAGGTAACCTTGGAACGCTGCCTTCATAAAAACCAACACAAACTAGAAAATGGCATATTCACAGCAATTTCACAACCCAAAGAGAAGCCGAGGTGTCTCTGTATTTTTTAAAAGACTTAAAAGTCTTTATCTGGATGAAAAGCAAACTACCATGACAAAAACTAACCTTCCCTTATGAAGGTAGTGCCAGAATAAATAAAAAGACTTCAGTGATCCCAATGTGGGCATCTTTGCCAACTGAGATTTTTCTCCTCAGTATCATCAATCCCTTGACTCTGCCAGAGCTAAACCTACATTTGGCCAACTGGCTGACAGCACTGGTTGCTTCTGGAATGACAAACTTTAGTTTTTGTTCATTTACTCAAATTCTACCTTTATTAAATCCTGAACATCTGGCTAACTTCTTGTTCTAAAAGCTGGTGTTTCCCAGTTAAGAAAATATGGGTGTTTTTGTTTCCACTGTTGGCAATGCCAAGAAACACTAAGGCATTACACCATTCCTGAACAGTACAGTGAGAGCATCACAACCATACAATCTAACAGTACAGCAGTCACTGCTCCACTCTAAACTCTAGGATTAAGTGATATTCTCCTTCATACCCAACCCCCCACATTTAATCAAGCAAGATGCTACGTTCAACGTGAATCAATGACAATAAACACGATCTATATCACATCAAATGTTCTCCAACTACACACAAGGTTTTTAGTTTACTGTATTACAAGCAACGAATGGCTAGGGTCCCTCTCTGCTGGAGACCCACAGAACAAGGCAGAGTGCCTTTTAGGAAAGCAGCTATGAGGGTCTAAATTGGATTCTATGGCAATAGATTCCACAACTTATTTTGTTTTCTGCAAATGTTAAGACTCAAAATGGGCCTTTCCCATACATGTTGGCTGAGATTTGTTGAGAGACGCACACATGACTGAGCCACTATGGCCTTAATGGTTGACCTCCAAAGGCAAGTCACCCATAAGAAAGAAAACCCGGGAGGGTGGACAGAGGCTCTTCTTTCAAGTCACGCAACAGTGGAAGGAGACAGCACAACTAGGGTGAATGGTGAAGTTCAGAGAGGTCATCTCAGGAAACTCTGCCATTGCCCCATAGAAACAGAGCAGCAACAGGTACTGCTGTGCACTAGTGCCTGTGAACACTAGTTCCAACAGGAGGCTGCCAGACAACTCACCATACAACTAAGGTGGTGGGAAACAAATTGGAAGCCATGGTGAACCTGTCCTTTGGCACCCTAACAAACTGTCAAGTACCCCATATGTGGTGACTCTCCTAAGACCAGAGCCATAGCTCTCAAAAAAGAACAGAACCTGCTCTTTCTCATCTCCTTGCCCCAAGGAAGCATAAACAAAAACATGGTCAATTCATTCACTTTAACTGTAATCCTGATAAGTACACAGGGGATTATAGAATGTCACTGCATTCCCCTGAAATAAAATAGTAAACTACAAGCAAATGTTTGTCCTCAGATACTTTCTGTTGGATGACTTCATCTGCACCATATGAACCCTGTTCAAAACAGACATGAGAACAAACTCATATAGGAACAAGTTTCTTTCCAGGCATCAAGGAGCCAAGTGATAATCATCCAGGAAGAAGCACACTTCTAGAGGTATGCAAAGCTGTCCCACTGCAGGAACCTGCCCAGCAAGGAAGGAAGGAGAGATGAGAAAGCCGCTGAGCCAGAGAGCAGGAAAAGCAGTAGACAGAAAGATTTAGGCTATTTCCTATACAACCCGGGGACAAGAACTAAAGACTCCACATTTCAGCAAGATCATCAAAGAGTTCTGCTCACATACCAGTGTGGAAAGACATACATATAGAAAAACCAGCAAGACAGGACCTACAGAACAGACTAATGTATTTTGTCCACTATATAACGCGGTACATAAAGGAACACAAAAACAACCCTATAAACCCAACAGGATGTCTGCAGTGCAGATTCACCTAGCCTACAGACTGCCTTTAGGTGCCTAGACCAGGAAGCACAAGCTGCCAGAATACATCCAATTCAGGAACAAGTCCACGCCCAGAGATATTGTACATTCCAATGAGATATTCCAAGAGTCAACTCACCATTCACAGTTTTCAGGCTCCCAGCAATGCCTTCCGCATGCTGCCTCTTCTGGGAATTCTTGAACTCCTTCAGAGACAAATAAAGGACTTTACGTACCACCCGTTCTTCTGACCACGGAATCCCATCACTGTCATCCTGAAGAAACATAAGAAAAGAGAGGAGTTACTGAATAGAAAGCAAGGCAATATTCAGAGTCAAAATAAACTTTATTTTAAAGGAATTTCCGAACACGTACTGTGTGACCACGACCCAGTTCTCAATGTCAGAATTACACCCATAAGGTAAAGGGGCAATGACCTTTCTGAACAGGCCTCAAAGAAAAGTGAATCCACAGGCTGTTAAAAAGAATGAAAGCAACACACAACCATCTCACTTCTTTATACGCCCCAAAATCAAATACGTTCATCAACTAGTAATAGTTTTATATTCCTGACAAAGTTCAGAAAAAGGTGTTGTTATACCCACAACCAGAAGGATAATGGATCATTTTACTTGAGTTTTATAAAGTGAGCAATGCCAGAATGTACACTGCAACAGAAATATGTACGGAGCTCTTAAAAATGTTGCTGCCTCCCTTGGGAGCTCAAAGGATACAGCAGATATGGGTGCTGTGCATTCAAGGAATTTACAATCCAGTCAGAAGACATGGAATTGGATCCGCATTGGCCACTTAAGTAAAAGAATCACAAATAAAAGGAGAGAGTACTGCAGAAGGAGGCAACTGATCTTGGCGGCATACAACTGGCATGATTTTTGTTTTAATGTACACATTAATGATGGATCTTGAAGGTCTCATTTCAAACTGGCAACCTCATGTCTGTTGCTCCAGAACGAATACAAGTTCTTAAGAATTAACAAAATGAATGCAGAGATGACCAAAAACAAACAGCCAGCCCAGAGACTATTCCAGCAATTCCAGTCATAAAGATATAAAGAAAGACTCAAATTTTAAAAGCACTAAAGAGGGAAGAAAAAATTATACAGAGACTTGAGACAGAGCAAGAGGTGGGAAGACAGACATGGTTGACAACAGTCACTAAAGCAAGGTAAATAGGAAGAGATACATGTTTAAAGAATCAGCAAGATTAAGTCACTATAGTTTTTATTAATAGATGATGATTCACATGGCCAAGGATATTGAGAGGTTCTCTTCTGTAGCTGTTAATCTAAGAAGGACTTATGTTCACACACCTACATCAGACTTAATTAAGCATTTTATAAAAGTTCATTTTAGAAATGGAAGCAGGCCTGGCATGGTGCCTCACGCCTGTAATCCCAGCACTTTTGGGGGCCAAGATGGGCAGATCACGAGGTCAGGAGTTCAAGACTAGCCTGAATAACATGGTGAAATCCCATCTCTACTAAAAATACAAAAACTAGCCAGGCGTGGTGGCACGCGACTGTAATCCCAGCTATTCAGGAGGCTGAGGCACGAGAATTGCTTGAACCTAGAGGGAAAGGTGGCAGTGAGCTGAGATCGTGCCACTTCACTCCAGCCTGGGAGACAGAGTGAGACTCAGTCTCAAAAAAAAAAATAAATAAATAAATAAGAAATGGAAGCATACAGATACTTTGGGCCTTAAAAGAATAAGAAGAACGGCTTGGCGCAGTGGCTCATGCCTGTAATCCCAGCACTTTGAGAGGACAAGGCGGACGGATCACAAGGGATTGAGACCAACCTGGCCAACATGTTGAAACCCTGTCTCTACTAAAAAACTACAAAAATTAGCTGAGCGTGGTGGTGCACGCCTGTAGTCCCAGCTACTGGGGAGGCTGAGGCATGAGAATCACTTGAACCTGGGGAGGCGGAGGTTGCAGTGAGCCAAGATCACGCCACTGCACTCCCACCTGGGAGACAGAGCAAAACTCTGTCTAAAAATAATAATAATAATAACATTAATATCCCAGGTAAAATCATGATTTGGGGTATTTTGGATATTCAGGTTCCCTTTGTTCAAGGAGAAGGCAGAAAATCTCATGGGCAGTCTGGTGCTGTTTTACTGGTTTATACAAAAGAATTGGTTTTTCCTCCCTAACACTGAAGGATCACAGAAAACTTCCATGGGACTCAATGAGAAGTCTAGATGATCTGACGTCTCCTCCAGCACTTACGTTCCTATACTCTGCATAAATACAAACTTCATTTTAGAAATCCAACATCATAGAGACTCTAAGCCCTAAATAACTTAAGCTGCACTTTCGTTAAGCTTCACAGATTTCCTAGAATGAGAGTAATTCTCCATCTTCTACAGCAAGAGGAAGAAAGTCCTGAGAGAACTAGGATTTCCACCTTCTCCTTCACATCCTTCACTCACAGAAGCCTGCCAGGCTGAGATTTCCGACTGCTGGGCAGTGCCTCTAGAAGAAGGAGGTACATCCAGTCTTCCTGTCCGCTCTCCCAAGACAGCCAAAACATCCACAGACCACGGTACGGGGTCAGGGTTCGGACATGAAGGCTAAGAGAAGCCAGCAAACCTTGCCCCAACCTAACAAGAGAAACACAATTTCTAACCTGCTACTGCGTGTAGGTCACTGGAGACCTTCCCAATCAAATGATTAAAAACCAGAAAAATGGAGGAACCCAAATACCAACCTGAGTAAAATGCAACTGACTTGACACCACAACACATGAAAAGCATGATATAGCTGAATTAATCTTTACAGCAACTCCCCTGGGTTTGCAAGAAAGCTCTCCTAATATACTAGCTGCAACTGAATGATAGTGTTAACTGCAGGAGGAGTTAATGCTTATTAGGCTGAAATCCACCTCTTCAGCAGCCTCAGTCTATTCATAAAGGCTGTCAGACAGAATTCTCTTCATCACCACCAGGTTCCTATTCTCACTGTTCGAATCTCCACAACAAACAATGACGTGAGATTATAAACTATTATTTCCTACATGTACACAGTTTATAAATTATAAGGCCCCAAAATAGCTTTCAATGTAAAATTCCCATGACGATTTATTGCATCCTGTGCAGGCTGGTGCCTTCATCCTGACTTCAGGCTCCAGTTGAGAGAATTATTCCCCTACAACTAATGTCTAATTAAAACATAAACCATGTGAGATGAAAACTACAAGAAAGGAAGCGCATTTAAGGTTCAGTTACTGACACAAGCAGCTTCATTACACCTATGAAGTACTTTAAATACAGGAGAAGCAAATCCATGACCCAGATTATGGGGTTTCAAATGCTACACATTAAAATTCAAACTTAAAACACACACAACACACAAGTGTTTTGTAATCTACAGTGCTGGTTGAGACTTGTCACCTGCTCCCTCAATGCTGATGCAAGACACAAATCTAGTAGATGAGTTGACTCAGTGCTGTTCACAAGAGATAGACCAGTAGGTAATAATTCCAAATAGTCCCAATTAAGCTGCCTTTCTCAACTGTAGGGTCATGGTGAATCATCCTTACCTTATAATCCTCTAGCAGAATCCCAGATGCAGACAGCAAAGGTGTGCCTGCACTCAACCTATCCAAGATGGGGGAGAGGAAGGCCAGAAGAAATATCCTTCCAGTTTAATGCTAACTCTGCTGTGGCTATATCATTCTTCATTCAGGATCAACCAGTACTGAACGCTCTAAAAAACAGCCCAGATATGGCCGGGCGCGGTGGCTCACACCTGTAATCCCAGCACTTTGGGAGACCGAGGCAGGCAGATCACAAGGTCAGGAGATCGAGACCATCCTGGCTAACACGGTGAAACCCTGTCTCTACTAAAAGAAAATACAAAATATTAGCCGGGCGTGGTGGCGGGCGCCTGTAGTACCAGCTACTCTGGAGGCTGAGGCAGGAGAATGGCATGAACCTGGGAGGCAGAGCTTGCAGTGATCGTGTGCAGAGATCGTGCCACTGCACACTACAGCCTGGGTGACAGAGCAAGTCTTTAAAAAAAAAAAAAAAAAAAAAACAGCCCAGATACAACTCTATCATTAGAGGTCAAGCAAACTCAAAATACATACACCCAATACAGACCTTCCTTTCCATTTTCTCAATAGCTGTCTTATTTAATTAGGCATTTAACCACGGGGCAAGGAAATCACTACTCTTGTTCACCACTGTATCCCAGCTCCTAAAACATGCCTGATATAGCAAGAGCTGAATAAATACTTCTGGAATCAATTACAAACTCAACGAAGCTCAGTCTCACTGTTCCCACTGACATTTATTTACCCCTACTCGCCCTGCCAGTGTCTAACATCCAGTGCCAGAAGTCACACTGCTATCCTCATAAAACACTCCCCACAGAGACTAATCCCAAGGGGCTCAGCCACACCTCTGATTCTCAGCAGAGGCTGGTGTCCTAGGGGAGACATCCTTCCTCCACAGTGGCTGCTACCACTCGTTCCTCAGCCACTTTGCAGTGTTCTCTGTAAGAAAAAGTGCCAGTCCAGATGTCCACATGGTCTTACACATGTAACAACTCTGTCACACTCCCATTTGCTAAATGTTGACCAATGATTCCAGCTACTCTTCCCCTACCCCACTTACATCTGTTCAGACTCTTTCTCCTGTATTTCCAGCAATCTCTCATGATGCTCCTGCCCGACCCTCTAGATCCAATAATTCATTCTCAATCATATGTTCAAGTCAACTAATAGCCCATTAGCACCTCACTGTCTGAAAATCCAAATTATCCCCTTTGTCCTCTGTAAACCACTTCAGGCCCCTTGGTAGAATCAGTCAGGGTTTGACAGTGCAGACCTCTTCTTGGCCCACTCTGGAATGGCCCACAAAACCAAGCACCCCATGCATTCTGGTTTACTGGTCAGCTTAATATAGAGGACACAGGAATACGCCCTTTAGAGGAGAAGTGATGGCTCCTTTTAAACTGCAGGATTACTGCCACTTTTGAAAATAATAGAATTTCTTATCAAAAAGAGCAATTGGTCAGGAATCAAACTTGTATATGGTCATAATTTTTTTTACAAAATTTACTAAAATTAGTAAAAAACACTGTGCCAAGTGGTTAAGGTACAGGTGGTCTGTGGGCCACAACTTGGCATTGCAAGTTATCTCTAACCCGGACTGTGAGTCTTTTTACTAAAAGACAAAAAGGAGAACAGAACCACTCACTGTTCCAAGTTCTATAATACACACATAAAATACCAGAGCTCAGAAAGTAAGCACATGATAACATCACATGCCTTTTATCAGACAACACCATGTAACAACTCTCCACAGCTGACGGTCCGGGCTAGAGATTCAACATATCCTTCCATAGTGTTGCAACTCCAAGACAGACCACCTGTACCTTAACCACTCGGCAGCCTGTTAGAAAAGCAGAATCCTGGGTCCCATCCAGATCTAGGGGCTCAGAATCTGCACTGATGCCCAGATGATTCTGGTACACGGTCAAGTTTCAGAAGCTCTGCTCTGCAAAATAGGACTCCATCCTGTGCCTATATACATCAGAAAGAAAAGATGAAACCTCCAAGACGAATGCTTCAAACATCCATCCCATGCGGCCAGTATTACTGTCAGAATTCAGATGTCTATATAAATATACCCTGAGAAATCTTCCTTTGACTCCTCTTCAGTGATCAAAGAGCACAGCGGAAAACACCCAAAAAGGTATGGCACTAAGTAATGCTAGTTCCTTTAATCATTCCTTACGTGACACGGTCTCTCAAACCCTTCTCTTTTGGTTACTCAACTTGGGATGACTTCTCTTTAAAACCCAACAACCAGAATTAAATATACATTCAAATTACATGTGAATAATCCTCCAGAACAGATCCAACACATACAAGAAGATAATTCTATTTCCATGCACAGTCTCATGACACTGCAGGATCTCATGAGTTTGCAGTTAACTATATCCTCCATGGTGACTGTTTCTTTGCAGGGATGGGGAGGAAGTAAGTAAAAGTATTGCATCACCATGAAACAAGAACCAAATGAAGGATCCAATCCAACCAAAAGCACAGCTCCCAGTGATACAATTTTATTTTCCTGTGATGCTCTCCTCTACTCATTTTAAAGACAAAAAAACAAAAAACATCAAAATTAAAACCTTGTACAGGCCACTGACAGAAAGCTATGTGTGCATAATATAACCAAGTTGTATTCAGACCAGGTTAATGAACTGCTTTACAAGACAAAAAGGTACATGATCCACACTTTTAAAAACCAGATTGTTTTGATATAGTTTCTAACTACACCAAGAGTTCTTATAATTTGTCTCAAGGTTGGTTGGATCACCCACCAAGAAAAAGCCTTTACAGGATGGTGTTCTGCAGTGACAGCCAACTCTTCAATAATATGGGCCCTCAAAAATCTCTGAAAAGGACTCAAGTACATTAGTGCAAGAAAACAGAGACATCCAGGTCAGTAAAGCTCGCAGAATGGGTGCCACCCAGAGGATGATACTTGGAGTCGACTGGAAAGACTTGAAAACTCCATCATGATTGTACTAACAGCAAACCTCTCCTGGGGAAGCAGGAGTTGGGCAGTGAGCTCAGCACCACCTGCATTTAATAATCATGATTTCTCTGCTCAGCCTTCCTTTAGTATAAGGTCCACACCACTGCTTTCTCCCTTTAGAGTCAAAGGTATGGGGGAAACGAAGTAATCGTGAAACTTTTAGTTATTTCTAGAGATGAATTCCAGAGTCTTGACGCAAATGTGGCATTGGTAGTCAGTCCATGGCAGATATCAGATCAGGAAGTAAAATTTCAAAACTCAGAAATGTGTTAGTAGCCAGAGATGTTAAATATGTAACTCACACTGACTCCTAGGTAAAAGCAAAATTAAAATTATTGGTTTGCAGAGGCTTCATGTAAACAATATATGAAAAAAAACTATTATTAGTAGTGGGGATAGAAGTGGGAGTAGGGGAAGGAATTTTCTATTACTAGCCTACAATTGGCAAACCATCGTTATGCAATTTGTTCATACCTTGGTTTTTATTATGGTTTCAAATTCAGGCCATCTTGATTTGGGAGAAGGAAACAAAGATGAAAAAGCATGGGTTAAAGGAAAACACATTTCTGATCAATTAAAAATCAATTTTCTGACAATTACATCTATTTAAAAATGGAAGACAGTTAATTTCCTATCACTTGCAGGCAAACTACCTTAGACACTCATGCTTCACAGGTAGAGTGGTCAAGTCATTTATTACCCAAATCAAGGGCACTGGTAGTAACGACAGGGAAATACCTCGTGGAAACTGGGTCATGGGTCAACCAACTCTACCAGGCCCCTTCCAGGAAATCTGAATCAATTAAAAACAAACCAAAAAAAGCCTACAATGACACAAAGACTTTTTTTTTAACCATATCTCCAAAAAGAAATAAAGCCACTACAATAAATATTATAAAACAAATATAACATAGACATAGCAGGATTGTAAGTGTGACACACATCTGTTCTAAAGTTGGAATTCAGACCCCCCACCAATGTTTTAAATAACAACCTGGTGATAAAGAGGCAGAAGGTGGCAACCTAGGTGCACTTACGGAAGGTGCTGCAAAAAAACAATCCTGCTTCCACTGGGCAGGGGCACAGGACATCAAAGGCTCTTCACAACCCCTAGTACCTAAAACCAACTGAAATGCAGAAATCGCCTTCGAATTGATGGGGCCATAGGAGACCAAGGAAAGGAGCACTCAGGATCACAGGCAGGAAGATCTCCTAACACAGAGCCTCTTTATTAAAATTCACAGAAATGCTAAGACATGGCAATTGGAGTTGCCAACCCCACCCCCCACCCCCCCCGCCCCCCCCGCCCCCCACCCACATATAGAGATCGCTAGAGCTCTACAGGTGGAGGGATGTGGCTACTTTCAAAAAGAAAAAGAAGTGCTTTTCCTGACTCCAATGCCCAAAGGACCAACATGCAATGTCATATCATGGGATTAAGGATGGTGGATCTGAACAACAGCCGTACAGAGCTGAATAGCAAATGAAAAAAAACATTCTAAAAAACTAGGCCCATGGACAAGGAAAGGATTGATTGCTATTTCCTCCTCCCAAGGATAAATGACTGGAATCCTGTACATGAATGCCTTTTATTTTCAGAACGTGTTTCTCATATACCTGCTGTTAAATCACCCTACTTGAAACAACTTGTGGCTGCCTGATATGCCAAACCTGTTCCAGCAACACTTTGAGAGAAAAACGAAAGCACCAAATAAAAAATTGGGAGGGAATGTTGATTCTTCCCACAGATTAAGTGTAAACAAAAATGGGGTTGGGGGTGATGAAGGAAAATGAGAAAGGTACAACTTCAACTTTGTCTAAAATAACCTTTTCTTCCCTTTTAACAAAGTAACAGTAGTACTAATAATTTCCAATTGATTTAATTCCAAAAAAAAAAAGTAGTCTGTCAATATTCAAATAAAGTGAAGCCTGAGTAACATTCACAACTGGAAATAAGGGGCCAGGAAACATCTTGAGAGAAGAAACTTACTTACTGAACTTGTGAATGATGTTCCCTTGCCTAGGGTTTAAATTAAAAGCACTTCAAAGCAGCAAATTTCTTCAGACAGACATGCTTCCCAGGTTAGGGTAAACGGCCTGAAAATGCTTCTGCAAGGAGAGTTTTACTTCTTCCAAACTCCCATTAAATAATGTGTACTTATCTTTGATTACTGCCTATTTAAAAAAAAAAAAAGCTGCAGCTGAAATTGGATTAAGAACTTCTGCTGAAAACGATTTATTGCATAACACAACTCTGACAGGCTGAATCTCCGGCCACCAACTGAGCCTTTATAAAAATCTGCTGGGCAGCTGCCAAGTCAGCTCTTTTGCGTCTGAGCATGTCAGACATCCGCCGTCGTCAAGGCAGCAGCATGGCAGCAAGACGTCCGCACGCTCATGGTTAAAGGGTGCAGTCAGGGAACAGAGCAGCCAGAACCACGCAACACGGCATTAAAACCTCCTGCAGTGCTGGATCTGACGGTTCGCTTTTTCAATGTAATCAAAAAAGACCCAAGATCTACAGCAGGATTATCTTCCAGCATCTAACAGACACCTGGATTGTCAATGTACCTTCACTGATGGAGTGGTGGCGAGGAAATCAAATTACAAATAAATTATTGGCCAGTGTCTTCAAAAATCAAATCAAATAAATAGTTCAATATCACCAATGCCAGTGTGCAACTATATATGACTTCACTTTGGGAATTTATGTTACTAGAATTTCCTTGGGAATTTATGTTAATTTATTTACAAAGAAATTCTAATATTTGGATCTTTTAATCACTAATGCCTTTTTATGTTCATTATGATATACCCCCAAAAAATCCCCAAATGCCACATTCTAATCTGCACCGTCTAATACAGTAGCCACTAGTCACATGTAAGTACTTATAATTAACTCAATTAAAATTTAAAATTAAGGTCCTTGAGTCATGCTGGTCACATTTCAGTTACTCAATGGCCACAATCCGACCACCTGTCAATGGACAACACAGCTACAGAACGGTTCTGTCATCACAAGAAGTTCTTTTGGACAGCACTGACATATCTGCATTAAATTGGATAGGGTTTCAATTGACATTGCGTGTTACGTGATAGTGCATTTTACTACGTCCCTGAGAGTCTTATGTGCCTTATGTGTTACTCCATTTACCAAGAAAACTGTGGGAGATAAGAAATCTTTTACAAGAAAATTAGAGTCTAAAGCAGGCAAGAACTATTCAAAGTGCAGACATCCACTCATACAACTCTCCAGGTTGGAAGTGGTTCCAGTCCTGTGGGGCACATCTGGCCTCTAGGGGTTTTGCAGGAAACCCCTCTTGCAGGAAACATCCTGAAGATGAAGTAAAGTCTGTCTGCAAAGCCTTGAAGACACACTGCTTTCCTACACCTTCAAATCCTTTTCTAAGGAAATCACTACAAAATAAAGCCTCCGGGATTGAGGCCAGACAAAAACCAGTCCTATCCACCAGCCAGTCTCCAAGTACCCACAGGGTGGCCAAAACAGGCTTGATTTGATTCATGGTTGCCCCTTACTGACAGGGCTGGTTAGAATTACGGCCCTGTGGGTGATGGAAAGGAGTTAGTGCTGCTGTTTCTTCCACCAGGACCCAGGACACTGCTGGGGGATCATTTTATGAGATCAATCAATGCCTGACTGACTCGCTGGCTTTTTTGGTTGAACAATAACTACCCCACCCGAACCCCAGCAAGGAAATAAACAGAAGTATACGTATATTGTCACAAGACTGGTTATCTCTGGTCATGTTATATTACAAACCACCAGTTTATTTTTGTCTATCTCATGCAAATTTCCACACTAACAGAAAGTCTACAAATAAACTCTGTCCTTGGACTTAACATAAACTGACATATTGCCTTATTTTTTCCAGAAACAGATAAAGTTGTCTCATATGCCTTAACCCCTTCCTGTGTCCTCCAGCCCTCCCAATAATTAATAACCACCCTGGGATTGGCACCCTTTCATTACAGGTATGGGCCTCCAGAAACCATTCTGATGCACATTTTCCCTCCAAAAAGCATTTCCCACTAATAACGTGTGTCCACCAAGCGACAGGGCACACACATTTCCTGTACATATTCTCTTCCACATTTTTCAACTAGCATACTTATCACACAAACATTTTTAAATGCTGAAACTGAGGTTCAGAGGTGTGAAGTAGTACAGATCACATTCTGACTAGTCTGTGTCTTACTCGCCTTTTATGTTCCTGAGACATAGCAATGAGTCCAGCACGTAGCAGGCACTTGAAGGCCATTCCAAGACACAACACAGGGAAACAGGTGGCAGGTGGAAAGAGTGAGAGGTACAAAGAAGCCTGGATTCCAATTCTGGAATTCTGTGAATCTTACAGTGGCTCATGTGTAAAACAAATAATTATCTAAGGCAATGGTGGCAAACTTGAGCAGACATCAGGAACACTCCCAGGGCTTGTGAACACACACTGTGCACAGCCTCCTTTCGCTGAGATTCTCTCAGGTGATGCTAATGCTGCTGGTTCAGGGATTACACGTGAGAAGTGCTGGTGTTTGAACAGCAGACATGCAGCCTATTCAACTTTCATCCTAGTCTTCCAGGAAAACTGTTCTCACTGCCATGAGAAACACTCTAATTGCCAAATTTAACGCAAACTTTTTATCGGCAACTGGACTCTCCCCTGGTTTTCCTGCCACACTAAAATACCTTTTCTGCTGTTTCATCACCTCCACCACCTTCAAGTTTGATTCTTCTGCCGTCCCCTTATCTCCAATCATAATCTAAA